>NW_025791767.1:0-244725 GCF_000001405.40 Homo sapiens | reverse complement strand
TTACAATTTATAATCCAAACTCCTTACCTATCTCCCCTCCGCAACCACCAGGGTTAAGAAATACCCAGTATTACATAGAGCAGATACATATTTATAGCAAACTGAATTGCCAATAAGCTTATAAGATCTCTTACACAGTAACAATCAGACGTCAAATGGCAAAGCAAAACTTTTTTTCTCATCCCTGTGATTACCTGGAGATATATATCTTTTCAATGAAATATTGAATGGCCATTAAAAATGTGTTTATCAAAAGCTAGGGAATTTTTCTGATATGCCTTTAGGTGAAAAAGGCAGAAAATTAAATTGTATAGATTTTTGATTTCAACTATGTATGAAATATATAGATTGAGAAAAGATTGGAAGAAAATACCAAAGTAAATAGCCTTGAAGATCTTAAAATGATCAAATATATTTAACTCCCCTTTCAAATTCCTAACTTGGAAGTAAGTGAGTGGTACTGACACCCCAAGTAGAACCCCCAATAACAATTCGTGAAACTTAGGGTGGCAGAGGCTACAGAAGAGAGTGCACCATGAAACAACTGTCACTGCAGATTCTGCACGCAGCTCCAGGGAGAGACACCTGTTCCACATACAGAAGAATGGGCCGTGATACTCATTCCTGGCCCACCCTTAGAAAAGCCCAAAGTGGGCAAGAGAAGCTCCTAGGGTGCAAAATTTAAGGAGGCACCCATTCTCAGGTTCCTGCAGGCCTGCTAGGCTTGCCTCACACTAGTCTGAGAGTATCTACCTATTTGGTTACATTAAAAAATAAAATAAAAACAAACCTCTAAAAAGATGTCCATTATTATTATATGGGTGAGATTATTGCCAAGAGGCTGCTGCCTACTCTTGCTCTATATCTTTAAAAGCAGTTAGTCCCCTAATCTAGCTAAGTAAAATTTAAACTAATTGTACTTTTCTTTCTCTCTTAAGAGAAATTATATAAATTCAATATTGGATCAATATACAGTTCTTCCACCCCAAACACAACTATCAATAACAAAATAACAATAGGGAATTAAAAGAAAAAAGCAGCCATAGGAGAGAATTTTTTAGTTTGAAAGAAACTGACCAATCTAAAAGAATTAAAGCAAACACACATTTATGAAGCACATTTACAGCAAAAGCAAGACATTATTAAATATCAATTTAGTATTCTTACGCAAATTTGAAAACACAGCATCTATAAAGAAAAACATAATAGAAACAGATGTCAAAACATACTAAAAATTTATAATAATTAAAAAGTATGATACTAGTACCAAAATAAACATATATTGGAAATGAACACAATAAAAATCTCAGAAACAACTCCATGTATATTAAGAAATGATTGATTTGACTGCACTGATATTTAAAAATTTCTAACTTTAAAACCTCATTGTAAACAAAGTTAAAAGGTAATCAAATGTAAACAAAGCTAAATAGAAAAAGCGAAACTAGGAAAACGACTTTCAACATGAGACAGAGAAAGTAAATATTTTTACTACATAAAGAGCTACTTTAGAAACAGCAACAGAGCAATATCCCCAAAGACAATTCAACTCAAATATATATATATATATATATATATATATATATATATATATATATATATATATATATATAGAGAGAGAGAGAGAGAGAGAGAGAGAGAGAGAGAGAGAGAGCACTGCATTAGTTTGCAAGCGCTGCCATAACAAAATACCACAGGCAAGGTGGCTTAAACAACAGAATTTTATTTTCTCACAATTCTGGAAGCTAAAAATCCAAGATCAAAGTGTTGGCAGAGTTGGTTTCTTTTGAGGCCTCTTTCTTTGATTTGAGGATGGCTCCCTGCATCTTCCCATGGTTCTTCCTCTGTGTCCAAATCTCCCCTTCTAAAATCAGCTCTTCCTCTACACAGTGTCTCACACCTGTAATCCCAGCACTTTGAGAGGCCGAGGCAGGCAGATCACGAGGTCAAGAGACCGAGACCATTCTGGCCAACATGGTGAAACCCCATCTCTATTAAAAATACAAAAATTAGCTGGGTGTCGTGGCGTGTGCCTGTAATCCCAGCTACTCGGGGGGCTGAGGCAGGAGAATCGCTTGAACCCAGGAGGCGGAGGTTGCAGTGAGCCGAGATCGCGCCACTGCACGGCAGCCTGGTGACAGAATAAGATTCCATTGAAAGAAGACAGAAGGAGAAAGAAAGAGAAAGAGAAGGAAAGAGAGGGAAAGAGAGGGAAAGGAGAGGAGAGGAGAGGAGAGGGGAGGGGAGGGGAGGGGAAGGGAGGGGAGGGGAGGGGAGGGGAGGGGGGAGAGAAGAGGAGAGGAGAGGAAAGGAAATACATATGTATTTGAGGACATATGTCAAACATGATATCAGGATAAATGTCTATCAAGAGGAGGCAATGGAAGTGGCAGCACTAGGAACAAAGGAAGGAAAAGAAAACATGAAATAAAACAGAGGGAAAAAAACAAAGAAGGTAGAGCGTGAATTGATAATAACAACATGCTATGAACTGAGAAGTATTATAAATTCAGGTCTCTCTATCTGAGGGCCGCAAAAGAGAGGGAAGATGAAAACTATCCCATATAAATTTTTTAAATTAATGAAATGCCAATTAGGAGTCCAATTTTTGAACCTGAATCAGATTTAAAATTTAATTTAGAAGCATAAACAGTTAAGAATGAGCATTAAAATCTTCTACAAAAAGGGGAGATAAGATTTACACTTCCAGTCATTACCAAAAACAAAAGTTTACAATAATTAACATAAGATAGTATGTGTGGCAGAAGAAAATACAGTCAGGGAAACAAAGTTCAGAAGTGTACCAAAGATTGTGTTAGATTCAGGGTTTGGAGGAGTTGGCCTTTCTTCAGTCTCACAGCAAGCCATTTATCTATGCTCTTAAAGCATACTCTCCCATCTCATCTATTGATTGGAAAGATGTCCAGAATACACTAAATCAACAGTGAATTGCCTATCAACTCAAGTAAATAATTTTACTTATTTTTATGATCATTCTAATAATAAAAAATTACCTAGAAGAACCCTCAGATTTTATCTAATCCAATAATTCTTAAATGGTTGTCATCAAAGCACTCCCACTTGGCTTGTTTAAAGATGTTCTTTGAAACCAACGAGAACAAACACACAACATACCAGAATCTCTGGGACACATTCAAAGCAGTGTGTAGAGGGAAATTTATAGCACTAAACGCCCACAGGAGAAAGCAGGAAAGATCCAAAATTGACACCCTAACATCACAATTAAAAGAACTAGAAAAGCAAGAGCAAACACATTCAAAAGCTAGCAGAAGGCAAGAAATAACTAAAATCAGAGCAGAACTGAAGGAAATAGAGACACAAAAAACCCTTCAAAAAACTAATGAATCCAGGAGATGGTTTTTTGAAAGGATCGACAAAATTGATAGACTGCTAGCAAGACTAATAAAGAAAAAGAGAGAGAAGAATCAAATAGACGCAATAAAAAATGATAAAGGGGATATCACCACCGATCCCACAGAAATACAAACTACCATCAGAGAATACTACAAACACCTCTACGCAAATAAACTAGAAAATCTAGAAGTGGATAAATTCCTCGACACATATACCCTCCCAAGACTAAACCAGGAAGAAGTTGAATCTCTGAATAGACCAATAACAGGATCTGAAATTGTGGCAATAATCAATAGCTTACCAACCAAAAGAGTCCAGGACCAGACGGATTCACAGTCGGATTCTACCAGAGGTACAAGGAGGAACTGGTACCATTCCTTCTGAAACTATTCCAATCAATAGAAAAAGAGAGAATCCTCCCTAACTCATTTTATGAGGCCAGCATCATCCTGATACCAAAGCCGGGCAGAGATACAACCAAAAAAGAGAATTTTAGAACAATATCCTTGATGAACACTGATGCAAAAATCCTCAATAACATACTGGCAAACCGAATCCAGCAGCACATCAAAAAGCTTATCCACCATGATCAAGTGGGCTTCATCCCTGGGATGCAAGACTGGTTCAATATACACAAATCAATAAATGTAATCCAGCATATAAACAGAACCAAAGACAAAAACCACATGATTATCTCAATAGATGCAGAAAAGGCCTTTGACAAAATTCGACAATGCTTCATGCTAAAAACTCTCAATAAATTAGGTATTGATGGGATGTATCTCAAAATAATGAGAGCTATCTATGACAAACCCACAGCCAATATCATACTGAATGGGCAAAAACTGGAAGCATTCCCTTTGAAAACTGGCACAAGACAGGGATGCCCTCTCTCACCACTCCTATTCAACATAGTGGTGGAAGTTCTGGCCAGGGCAATTAGGCAGAAGGAAATAAAGGGTATTCAATTAGGAAAAGAGGAAGTCAAATTGTCCCTGTTTGCAGATGACATGATTGTATATCTAGAAAACCCCATTGTCTCAGCCCAAAATCTGCTTAAGCTGATAAGTAACTTCAGCAAAGTCTCAGGATACAAAATCAATGTACAAAAATCACAAGCATTCTTATATACCAATAACAGACAAACAGAGAGCTAAATCATGAGTGAACTCCCATTCACAATTGCTTCAAAGAGAATAAAATACTTAGGAATCCAACTTACAAGGGACGTGAAGGACCTCTTCAAGGAGAACTACAAACCACTGCTCAATGAAATAAAAGAGGATACAAACAAATGGAAGAACATTCCATGCTCATGGGTAGGAAGAATCAATATTGCAAAAATGGCCATACTGCCCAAGGTAATTTACAGATTCAATGCCATCCCCATCAAGCTACCAATGCCTTTCTTCACAGAATTGGAAAAAACTACCTCAAAGTTCATATGGAACCAAAAAAGAGCCTGCATCGCCAAGTCAATCCTAAGCCAAAAGAACAAAGCTGGAGGCATCACGCTACCTGACTTCAAACTATACTACAAGGCTACAGTAACCAAAACAGCATGGTACTGGTACCAAAACAGAGATGTAGATCAATGGAACAGAACAGAGCCCTCAGAAAGAATGCCGCATATCTACAACTATCTGATCTTTGACAAACCTGACAAAAACAAGAAATGGGGAAAGGATTCCCTATTTAATAAATGGTGCTGGGAAAACTGGCTAGCCATATGTACAAAGCTGAAACTGGATCCCTTCCTTACACCTTATACAAAAATTAATTCAAGATGGATTAAAGACTTAAGTGTTAGACCTAAAACCATAAAAACCCTAGAAGAAAACCTAGGCATTACCATTCAGGACATAGGCATGGGCAAGGACTTCATGTCTAAAAGACCAAAAGCAATGGCAACAAAAGCCAAAACTGACAAATGGGATCTAATTAAACTAAAGAGCGTGTGCACAGCAAAAGAAACTACCATCAGAGTGAACAGGCAACCTACAAAATGGGAGAAAATTTTCGCAACCTACTCATCTGACAAAGGGCTAATATCCAGAATCTACAATGAATTCAAACAAATTTACAAGAAAAAAACAAACAACCCCATCAAAAAGTGGGCGAAGGACATGAACAGACACTTCTCAAAAGAAGACATTTATGCAGACAAAAAACACATGAAAAAATGCTCACCATCACTGGCCATCAGAGAAAGGCAAATCAAAACCACAATGAGATACCATCTCACACCAGTTAGAATGGCGATCATTAAAAAGTCAGGAAACAACAGGTGCTGGAGAGGATGTGGAGAAATAGGAACACTTTTACACTGTTGGTGGGACTGTAAACTAGTTCAACCATTGTGGAAGTCAGTGTGGCGATTCCTCAGGGATCTAGAACTAGAAATACCATTTGACCCAGCCATCCCATTACTGGGTATATACCCAAAGGACTATAAATCATGCTGCTATAAAGACACATGCACACGTATGTTTATTGCGGCACTATTCACAATAGCAAAGACTTGGAACCAACCCAAATGTCCAACAATGATAGACTGGATTAAGAAAATGTGGCACATATACACCATGGAATACTATGCAGCCATAAAAAATGATGAGTTCGTGAAACCCCGTCTCTACTAAAAATACGAAAAATTAGCCGGGCACGGTGGCGGGTGCCTGTAGTCCCAGCTACTCGGGAGGCTGAGGCAGGAGAATGGCGTGAACCCGGGAAGCGGAGCTTGCAGTGAGCCGAGATTGCGCCACTGCAGTCTGCAGTCCGGCCTGGGCGACAGAGCGAGACTCCGTCTCAAAAAAAAAAAAAAAAAAAAAAAAAAATGATGAGTTCATGTCCTTTGTAGGGACATGGATGAAATTGGAAATCATCATTCTCAGTAAACTATCGCAAGGACAAAAAACCAAACACCGCATGTTCTCACTCATAGATGGGAATTGAACAATGAGAACACATGGACACAGGAAGGGGAACATCACACTCTGGGGACTGTTGTGGGGTGGGGGGAGGGGGGAGGGATAGCATTAGGAGATATACCTAATGCTAAATGACGAGTTAATGGGTGCAGCACACCAGCATGGCACATGTATACATATGTAACTAACCTGCACATTGTGCACATGTACCCTAAAACTTAAAGTATAATAATAATAAAAATAAAAAATAAAAATAAATAAATAAAATAAATGTTTATTCCTTTACAATCTCACAAAGTCTAAAGAAGGAGTGGCACTCAGAAAGTGAGGCTGTCCATTTGGCTATCCAGTGTGGAATCCTCCACACCCTCTGATGTGGTTCGGATTTGTGTCCCCACCCAAATCTCATGTCAAATTGTAATCCCCAGTTCTGGAGGAGGGACCTGGTGAGAAGTAACTGGATCATGGGAGTTGACATCCCACTTGCTGTTCTCATGATAGTGAGTGAGTTCTCACAAGATCTGGTTGTTTAAAAGTGTGTAGCACCTTCCCCTTCACTCTTTTCGTACTTCCCCTGCCATGTAAGACGGGCCTGCTTCCCCTTCACCATCCACCATGATTGTAAATTTCCTGAGGCCTCCACAGCCAGGCGTCCTGTACAACCTGCAGAACTGTGAGTCAATTAAATCTCTTTTCTTTATAAATTGCCCAGTCTCAAGCAGTTCTTTATAGCAATGCGAGAACAAACTAATACACCCTTCCCACCCATTTTCCCAGCACTCTGGGTACCCTCTATTTACAAGTGTTTTTCATCTATTCATACTCTGGGTATCCTCTATTTAAAAGTGTTTTTCATCTATTTGTAGCCTCTACCCTACCCCCACTCCCCCCAACCTAAAGTCTCTGGTTCATCTTTAACGTTTGCAGGTGTTGGGGGAGGTTTCCAGAAAGAAGTAACTTCCAAGGTGAGACTTGAAGGAGAATGAATAGGACTTAGCCATATGAAGGAGGTGGCATGGGGGAAAAGCCAAAAGTTACAGATGACTTGACAGCAACTTGAACAAGTAGACCCAAGACGACTCAATGACTGGCTAGGAGGCACACTGCAAGGCAGCAGGAAAGCACGATACTCTTTTCTGAACCTGGGTACCTGAGAGGACAGGAATAGGATTAATTAAATTAGAAAACATGGCACAAAGCAGAATAAAATCTGCAGTTTGAAAGACATCAAGGAAAATACTATGTCCATTGGAAATATGGTGCTTTGATGCTGGTACGATTTAAGCTAGATGTTCAGATCAGGATCCACAGCAGCCAAGCTCGGAGAAGTGAGAATGGATGATGTTACCAATGGCCTGAGTGTAGAGAGAGAAGATCAGAGCTGGAGTGACAGAACACTGGGAAAACTCATTTCAGCCAACTGGGAGATTAAGTGAAGAAAAGAAAGATGAAGAAAAAATGGAGCAAAGAAAAAAACAGAAGTGTAACGTAAGAGGAACATCTGTATATTTCAATATGAAAGAATCCAACAGGAAACAAGAAAACAAAACAGTTGTAAAAACTAAAACTATATAAATGTGGGAGAAACAAATAATTTTAAATAATTTAAGTTGCAGTTTAATCATCAAACTAAAAAGTAAAAAATAGTCTCTTAAAATACACATTTTAATTTTGGATAAGTAAATATTTTTAGAATAAACTAATTCAATTTATTAATAATTAGACTATAATCATCTTATCTCTACGTTAATGTTCAGTTACATATTAAAAATATACATTATCCATTAAGATAGTCAACATTAATAAAATTACATTGTAATAGTTTAGGATAATTTTCCTTTCACTAAAAACAAAATATAGTTACATAAAACATTCATTTAATATTTATTGCATATGAACCAAAAGTAAAATAAGTAAAAAAGAAAAAAAAATCATCCAATGTCCTCTGTAAATATTCCTGACGGCCATGACTACCCCACATCTTTTGAATGAACAGCCTTTCTATATTTGGAAAATTCTCATCTCAAGAATTCACTTTCCCAGCATAAAAGTCAGAACACAAAATGCAGTCTCCTTAGCATTCAGGCAGGTGGCTTAGTCTAAAATGTGCCTGTACAAAACTTGGAATCAGATATCAGCAACATGAGGTAATGGGCTCTGTGTGGAAGTTCCTCCTTACCTGCAATCCATGTGTGGGTGGTGGCAGAGGTGTCTGGGCTTCAACTGCAATAGCAGTGGGGGGAAGACTTCACCCTATTTGATCACTGAAGTTCTCAGTACAAATGACTTTGCAGATGCAGCATGGGTGGCATTAGTTTCTTCTGAAGCACCACAGGACAACAGTAGCGAATGATGGTTTCCTCATCAGGTTACAGGTGGAACATGGATTAGATTTTTTTTTTTCTGATTCTCTATGCATCCTAATATTTCTGTGCTAACGTCATTTTTTCAGAACTCCATAGAATTCACTACTGACTGGTGCTGATGCATCTGCCAAAAAAAGAAATCTAGTACCTACTACCTGAAGGCGCTCAGCGATGAAACTGCTAATTAAATTACCCCTGTGGGCCAGGCGCAGTGGCTCATGCCTGTAAGCCCAGCACTTTGGGAGGCTGAGCATATATATATATATATATATATATATATATATATATATATATATATATATATATATAAAACCCCTGTGGTCACTGGGATGAAGGAACCATTGGAGGCAATGCATTGGAGGCAATGCCTTGAGGGATCTAGTGACCACGGCCATAGAAAGGCATGAAGAACGTGAAGAGCACGAGGAATTGGAGTTTTGTAAGAAACTGCCTGCTACTTACTCTACTGGAGAGCTTAAATGAAGACAAGGTCAAAGTCCTAAACTCTCACCTCAAGGCAAAGATTTAAAAGCACAGAATTTCTTTAACAGTGGGATAAAAAGTTATTCACAGCTATAACAAGGCCAAAGTAGCTAAAAATAATTTTTTTCTTGCTGCTTCCTTATCTTAATCAGGAAGTATCGACTTTATAGCTTCATCAAGTTTTTTATGTGAAAGGCAGAACAATAATTGGGAAATATTATGCCCCCAAACATTAGAATGGAAACGTATAGGAGGTTTGAAATAACCTAAATTACTCCAGTATCTATGTCTTCTGAGGAGCCCTTGCCAAAAGCAGCCCATTCCCTCCTGATTTATAGGGCTGTTTTTAATTTGCTTGAAGAGCAAGGTCTTTCAAGACTTTTTCTAAAGCAGCTATTTTTTAAGGAAGAGACAATTCCTCTCAAACCCCTTCGGATTGTCACTGGACCTATAACCAGAATCAAAGTGTGGCATTCCATAGAGAGCCAGTTACAAAATTCAACCCGACAGAAAAAACCTAATCGTGAAAAGAACCGCAAGGGTGATTATTTTAACATTAAAAAAATTGGAGAGGATGTCTGGGAATTGACTCTAAGGGCACAAGGCCAAGAGCGGACTAACAATTTTGAGAATCATTTATCAATATGAGTTTACTTACCAAGGATTCCGAATTTGATGTATTGGCTTGAGCAGCTGCAAATGGTTTTAATTTTTTGTTTACTTGGTGACGACCTTCTTCTCAATGTCACTACATTAAATGAAGTCGAAGGGTCTGTCAGGAAATCCTTGGTATAATGCATTGAAAGGTATCCAGCAATTTGGGGAGATAGTAAGGCTGAAGTTCATTTATCATGAATGGCTCACTCACTCATCCTCCTTTGTCTCCCAAGAAAACCTAGAAGACATTCTCTAATTAAGTAATTTAGAAATACCTTGGTTGAGGCGGGTACCAGCATCTGTGAAAAGTGTCATAGTGTCTGTTCTCTGTAGAGCAGGATGCTGGTGGTGGTGGCCACAAGAGACACAAGGATGATGATTCTATTGGAATGATTAGATCTCAGGACGGTATCAGCCTAGGGGCTGAACTTCACCACCAAAAAGAAAAGAGGGCATAATTATTGTTGAGTGGTAGCCAGGATGTTCTGAGTAGTAGTGACTTTTGGTATTAAATAATTGATGAGAGGCCTGAGAGAAATAGGCAGCCTTCGGAAGTTCTATATGATTTGTATAACTCAAAAACCTCTGGATCTGTTAAACAGGCCTGACGTGAGTCACCAAAATAGAGACACAGCCTTTCACATAATACTTAGGTCTGAGTTAGTTCACAGACCCAGAGCTTCTTAAATGAAAGGGAGGTTAGCTACCTGTAGTACATTCCATAACTCCTCTTCCTAATTTTCCCCAAGGGCACCTGAGGCCATTAGGGGTAGGGAAATGCCTAGATCTTTAGGCAACTGTTGCACATTAAGTAAATGTTAAACCCTAGGAATCCAGAAAGTTACTATTGTAAACTAGTCACAGATAAATGGAGTTCAGATACAAATCAGTCTTGCAGACAGCTCAGTATGATAATGGACGCATCCTACGGTCCTTTTCCCAGGTCCTTAGCATATAGTTGGACTAGACAAACTAAGAAACAGAAAATGCTGAATGCTGATGTTAACTCTTTTTTTTTTTTTTCTTGAGGTGGAGTTTCACTCTTGTTGCCCAGGCTGGAGTGCAATGGCACAATCTCGGATCACTGCAACTTCCGCCTCCCAGAATCAAGCAATTCTCCTGCCTCAGCCTCCCGAGTAGCTGGGATTACAGGCATGCGCCACCACGCCCAGCTGACATTAACTCTTTAATGTAATGTCTGTTATGGTAGGAATGGCCAAGTGGAACCTTCTGGAATGCCATCTTTTCATCTAAATAGTACATTTAAAGGAACACCAGATATCTTTGGAGAATTATAAAAATTAGTGCCACCACCAAATTCTTGGAGGCCACTGAGGTACAAATTCCTAACACTTTCCTACTTAACTCCAAGACAGGTCTTAGAGAAGGAAAACTTTATCAAGTGATTATGTCAATTGAAGCCTCCAGTCCAGTTGTGGTGGCCTCTTCACTAAAGTAAAGCAAACCAACTCCTAGCACCTGACATGCAGCTTGTGATCTGGAAATTCTTTTTCTACTGACCACTAAAGAAACAATACTCAACGCAGCTTGTTCTCACTCAGCAGTAGCAGAAGTTAACTTTCATTATTTTGCCTCAGGGTAAACCACCTCTCAGGGCTGGTAAAACAATCTAGTCTACTTGGACTTTTACTGTTTCCCATTTTGCAGAACATGATGCTAGTGCATTATATTAACAGAGTCATACTGATGGAATCTGGGAACTAGGAAGTATAAAGTAAACTTGATACTTTGCTAAGTCACGTGTGTGGTCAAGCACTCGAAATAATCCATGAAAATACAGGGACCTGAAACCTTATTAAAGATTCTGGGGCTCCAGTGACCTAAGGTATGTTAGAATATTCCCTACAAAGCAAAAGGAAAATAGCCATGCCTGTCATCTCCACTGCCAAGAAACAAGTCTAACGTCCAGGGGACTTCTTTGGATTCTGGACGCAACGTTCATTGTATGCTGCACTGCCACCTCCCTCTCAACCCACGCTTCTGGTCCTAGGGAGAGCTCCTTGTGGCCAGCTGACTGAGGAAGGACAGATTGCTGGAGCATTATTATGCAATTCAAGTGGCCTTGCACAGAACAATGGGGATGTAAAATCCAACCAGTGAGAAGTTTAAAATGCCCATATGGATTAACAGAATCTTTGAAGTAAGATGACTAGAGGATTAGACATGAAGGGTATGGAGAAAGAGGCACAGGGATAGACCTCTCAGAAAGGGCCAAAAACGTGAAAATATTTATGTCTCATATGTAGAGCATGCCACCTCTACACAAGAGGCTCCCTACAAAAATGAAAGAAAAGATAATGCGGCCTGTGAATGTCAGTCAATTTCCTTTCCCAGATTACCCAGTACTTGCTTAATAAATTTATTAACAAAATGGCCACGGTGGCAAGGGTGGAGGTTTGCAATGTTTCGTCAATACATATTTCAGCTCACCTGGGATTATCTCATTGCAGAGAAACAAACTTTCAAGCAATAGAAACTGACAGTGAACTTCCAAGAGGATACCAATCCCAAAGGGCCAATCAGCTACCCAGTAGCAGTTAATTTCATTGAATTTTCCCATCACGGAAGGCCAGTAATTTGTCCTTACAAAACAGACATTTTCTCTGGATTTGGATTTACTTTCCCTTTTAGCCACTCTTCTGCCATAAACTATCATCTGAGTACTTACTGAATGTGTCATTGAGTGTCACAATATCACATACGTTGCTTTTAACAAACAACTAATTTGAAAGTAAAATAAGGAAGAATAATTTTTACTGTTTATGGAATTCATTGGTCTTAACAGGTACCTCATTACCCAAATGCAACTCTCCATTAAAAATGGTGAATTAGTTGAAGATGCACTTCTCATAGTCTCCAAAAGACAATAACTTAAATACCTTGTGATGCAGTCCTAATAGATGAAGAATATACTCTGAACCAGCGATCCATGTATGTCCCATATTTTCCATAGCCAGAATAAACAGTTCCAGGAACCAAATGGTGGAAATCACATCTAACTTTTACAACTAATGACTTAATTGCAAAATGTTTGTGTCTCATTACTATTCTGGGCTCTTCTATTTTAGATGTTCTCATTACCCAAGAGAATGCTTTCATTCAGGGGTGCAAGAGTCAGTCCAAATAAAAACTCAAAACAAAACAGCCTGCTACCTGGCTATTTATGACTCCTAATACCACTGGATGAATAAATTCTTTAGAAAATGCAGGGAAGGGTTGTAATGTTGTTGGCTGGAGTGATTGCTCCTAATTTTCAATGAAAAATAGGAATGCTTTTTCACAACTGGGACAGGGAAGAGAATGAATATAACTCAAGATCCCCTGGAGGGCCTCCTGGCACTACCCTACCTGGGGCTACAGAAGAGTAGGATGATGCCATCCAGGCAAGACTACAAAGGCTCAAATCCCCCAGAAACAAAGGTTTGCATCCCCTATCATGTAAAGAGATAAGACCAGCTAAGGTGCTGGATGAAAGGAAAGAAGCCATGAAACAAATGCATGATAAGAAAGAGAATGAAAACATAGTAACTATGGACTTGTAACTAGTTGAAGAAGCAAGAGCTGTATCATGTCCCCATATTTTCTTCCTTGCTTTTTGTAAATGTATTTATAAATTATACCTAATTTCTTTGCCCACTCCAGTTCCACTACTATTTTTGTCTGGGATGTTTTGATAGTGGCTAATTTCACATTTTAGTCCACAAGTTATAGAATGTCAAAACAGGATTACAATAAAACCAGAAAAGAAATGGATATCACTCAGAGAGGCCAGACTTACAGTCAAATGAATTAATTTAGGATACTTTGGGTTGTCTCTTTTGAGGATATTGTGATCATGTATTCATTTTCATTTTAAATGATAGTTGTATTGCATCAACAAATAGCATTTTACATATTTTAAAGGTTTGAGTATGGAATATGAGTGTTTATTGATATGGGGTAGCCAAAGAACCAGAAGGGACATACCGTATTTTTGGCCAACCAGAAAAGAGCAATGTGAGAAAACCAGAAAAGAGCAATGTGAGAAAACCAGTTCTGCCTGAAGCTTCCTTTTTTTTTTTTTTTTTTTTGGCACTAGTGGCAGGAACAGCCATTTCTTATTGATTTTAAGGTTCCATTTCTGAATCAGAAATGGTATTGGTAGGGAACAATGACTAGCAACAATTGCATCTAGGGTTACATAGGGATAGTAGCAACAGTGACAGTTTTCTCATTGGGCAAGTTATGCAACATGATTTCAGATAATTCTATCAGATACCTAATAACCTTTGCAGTTAATTTCTTCATTGCTTAATTCAGCCAAAGTCAGCTTCTGTGGCTGTCAAATGAAAAAATAAAGTCCTAGAAGGAAACAAATGGTATAGTTAGGGGTCTTTGAAGACACTTTAATAAAGGTCTATAGAAGGGGTTAAAGGGAATCAACAAGGGATGGTGCAGTACCCTAGGGACTAGCAACAAGAAATCCCCTAAGCCTTAAGGAGGAAGGGGACAAAGTGGATACTAAAACCCAGTGAGAGTAGCTGTAGGAGAGGATCACCAGGTCAGAGCTGTGGTCCTCAGAAAAGGAACACAGCAAGCCCATGGTAAGTTGGTAGTGAGGAAGGAAGGCAAATAAACATGCCAATCTCATTATTTTCCCACACATAGATCTCCTGTCTATGTATCCCATTGGCCAAACCTAAACAAAATCCAGAGGATAAGATATCCCATTGATGTAATCCATAAAGTCAGCCTCTGGGAAACAGAAAAGGCTGAAAAAGAGTGGATAGTAAATTTGGAGGGAAAAACAGAAAATATCTAGCACACTCTGACAAATACACCCTCTCACTAGACATTTTAGTTTATTTCCAGGTTTACATGGCAATGGTTGTTGGGGTGATGATATTAAGATTTATCGAATTATTTGATAATGCCACAAAGTATAGAATTTCTTAGATAAGAGGGAGAAAGTGATCTGAAAGAGTAAGCAAGAGTATTTAGGACTGATGAATACTTTGGGTCTCCCACTCCTTTTTACCCTGTATGTCTATTGAACATCCTCCCAGTCCAGTAAACCATCCCCATATCCTTTTAGTTTTAAGCATAAAAGTGCAAGAATTTCAAAATCCAATTTGTTTTACTAAAATCTGAAAGATTTTTTTCAAGCAAAAGAAAAAAAAACTTTAAATCATCCTTTTAAAAATCTCTTTATCTTTCACATCCAATCTATCAGAGTCTTGATACCTCCATCTCCAAAATATATCCCATATACATATACTTTTTACCATATTTACCACTACTACTGTAATCTAAACTACCATCATTGCTCACATAATCTTTTAGATGAGAAAAAAAAGTAAAACTGCTTCTTCACATTTCATCAATTCTATACATTATTCCTCTGCTTGATTTTCCTAACAGCAATTACCATTATCCAAAATCATATTGCTCATTTATTGTTTACTTCTCACTGTCTGTCTCCAAAATGAGATGTTAAATTCCATGAGAGTTGAGAGCTGACTCTTTTATTTACAGATATTCTCCAGGTCAGGGACAGTGCCTGACAAATAGTAGATGCTGAATAAATGTTTGCCAAATAAATAAATAAATGAATCCTAAAGTATTCCTCAATATTGGGATTACTAGTACTCACTATCCTGTACTTCAGTCAATTTCTATACTGTTGTTTCGGTGCATTTGATGTAAGCAGTTTTGAGAGGGAGTATGTAGATTGAAACTGATTCTTCATGTTGATTAATACTACATGGTTACTGATTAACCTTATTGGTGTTCAATTTGTATGTAACTATTAAAAGAGAAAATGATTCTATTAAATTGTATTCATGATGTACTATAAAGGCAATGAATGAGTTACATTATAAGAGGTTAAAATAACAATACCCTCTTTGTTTTTCTATTTGCCCAAGAGGCTATTTTGGTTTTGAACATTAAAATGCAAACAATTTTTAAATCAGATTGGTTATCTAAAGTCTGTAGAAAACAATGACAGAAAATAAATGATACTATAGTTTTTTACAAAACCAAAACTGGAAGGTTACAGAAACAAAATTGAAAGGTTCATCAAAAAAATTTGCTAATTGCTCTCTCGGTAACAATAATTCTCAGTAAATAATTCTTTCACTGAAGACCTTGGGAAATAGGATCCCCGATCTCAAGGAACTCAAAACCTATGTAAGATCAAAATCAATAAAATTAAATACAACATAAGGTGAAAAGTGATTTAATACCGTAGTCCCCCTTATCTTCAGGGGATAGTTCCAAGACCTTCAGTGGATTCCATAAAACCATGGGTCATACCAAAACAGAAATATACAGTCATCCCTCAGTACATCTGGGGGATTGGCTCTAGCACCCCCATGAATACCAAAATCTGCAAATGCTCAAGTCCTGGATATAAAATGGTGTAGTATTTGCATATAGCCTATGCATATCCTCCCGTATACTTGAAATTGTCTCTAACTTACTTATAAGACCCGATACAATGTAAATGCTATGTAAATTTATATTTACATTGCCCAAGAGGCCATATTGTTTTATGTGTATCATTTTTTATTGTTGTCTTGTTATTTTTATTGAAATAAAAAATATTTCAATAAAATATTTTTGTTATTTTTGTTGTCACATTTTCTATCTGCAGTTGACTGAACCCATCGATTTGGGTTGTGGATGTGGGACCCTGTACTATGTTTTTTTTTCCTACACATACATACCGATGATAAAGTTTAACTTGTAAATTAGGCATGGTAAGAGATTAACAACAATAATTATAACAATATACTGTAATAAAAGTTACGTAAATGTGGTCTCTCTCACTCTCTCAGAATACCTTATTGTACTAGACTCCCCTGTTTTTGGACTGCAGCTGACTGCAGGTAACCGAAACAGTGGAAAGCAAAACTACACATAAGAAGGGATTACTGTAACAGTGCAAACAAAACCATGACAACACGAAAGAGGTGGCTCTATCACTTTTGCTAGAAGAGTTAAGGAAGGCTTCAAAAGTTACACCTGAGCTGAACATCAAGTCTAGAATCTAGGTAGGGTCAGGGTCAGGAGAATTCGCTATGCTAACGAGTTTGGATTCTACCCTGCACTCAATGCAGTCTCTGACAGATTTTAGTTGGAAAAAAAAATACAGCTGGGTCATTTTTGTTTTAGGTAAATTAGCTTCATAGGATTGCAGAGGGCCAAAATTGGACAGAAAAGAGAGCAGAGGCAGAGAGAGCAATTAAAAGGTTATTGCTGTTTGTGGGGTGAAAGAAAAACAGAGCAGAGATCATCAACCTCTTCGTAAGGTGACGATGAAACAAAAGGCAAATTTCTCTTCTAATGTTTAGGTCAAATAGCATGTAAGCTATGAACTATTTTTCTCCTCCTGGCATTGGCATAAAGAGATTTTTTTGTGTGGCCACTGCTGAAAGTAAGGTAAATA
Organism: Homo sapiens; assembly: GCF_000001405.40. Taxonomy (NCBI): domain Eukaryota; kingdom Metazoa; phylum Chordata; class Mammalia; order Primates; family Hominidae; genus Homo; species Homo sapiens. The sequence goes on along the minus strand of NW_025791767.1, from coordinate 227,461 downwards.
AAACTCAGTGAGTAAAAATTGAAAAATTATTTAATTCTCCCTTCTGGGGTGTTTCTTCTTTCAAGTATGAAGAAATCCTATTTGCTAAGAACTCCAGAGGAAATGTATTTATTGTTATATTTAGGTACCTCATGTGGTACATGTAGTCTCCACATTACATGGCACTGTGGAAAAATGATTCCAAAAATAAAAGAGATAGAGTGATAAAGTCAGCCAATGTCCCCATTCATTTGGGAATGAACAAGCAGATCCAACCTGCCTGGCCAGTTAGAAGATCCTTGCCACCAAAGACGTTCTGAAATCTACTTTATGACTCTTATTGTCTCTCTACTCTGCTGTGTCAGGAAGGCACGCTGTAGTTACACCTATTTTATCACAAGTTATTTTTCCCTTCTGAACTCTTTCCTGTCTGGCCCTTTTCCCCTCTAACACATTTCCCTTGGCTCTAACATTCCATCACTCAGCATTACCCGCACATTTTCACTTTCTTCAACAGCCTGTTCTCTTCTGACCTTACTTTACCAGAGAATCAGCTAAGAACCCTGATCTTCAAATACATTCGCCTCTGGTTGCTTTATATTCTATGATTCTTCTCTAGTACAACTTGCTAACCACTCCACACCTTCCTTGATATAGGTAATAATATCTCTAATGAGTAAAGTTGCTAGAAATATACAAATGAGGAGTAAAAAAAATGCATTTCAGTTTAAGCATGTATTCTTAAGGTTACTTCTCTCGGATAGTCAACCTATCACAAAAAGTCAGTACTGGGTCTCCATCTGGTGGCCAAAATTTCTACTTTTAAATTCTAAAAGATATCTTTATTTTTCACTCCATCTTCCTAAGAATGACTTATCAAAGATGAAATATATGATGAATTATCCTAAAAGGAATGCACAATCAAATTAATAATTCAGAAGGTTATAAGTTTAATAATGCACAAATTAAAGACATCCTTAGAAAATACAGTCCAGCAATCTTAAAAATGGAGCCCAATCTCATGCAGAACAACAAATAAGAAAGCAGATGTACTCTAAATTGAGCACAGAGAGAAATTCGGTCACACTCAAAAATTGCATTTTAAAAGGACATATTATATGTCAGCAATTTCCCTAAGTACAGGGATTACAGTGAAAAAGACAAGCAAATTTCTTCCTTTAAAAAACTTACATTCTTGTGGAGGAAGATAAAAATATATCTGCATTATAATGTGAGTTTGGCATTAAGGTTATGAAGTAAAATAGAGTAAGGAAACAGTTACGGAGATGAGAATATGTTACTTTGTGAAGAATGGTCAGGATTCACCTCTATAATAAGACAATGTTTAAACAATAGACTTAAGTGAGAGATGTATATATTCCTGAGAAAAAGTATGTTGGGGCAGCAATGGCGTGTACAAAGGACCTGAGGCAGAAACGTGGTTAAAGATCTGTACAGGAACAGTGTGGCTAGAGAATGTGAGTAATGGGAATAGTGGGAGATGAGGTCAGAAAGACAGTGAAGGGCCAGATGTGCAGGGATTTGCAGGCTGTACAGATTCTGTGAATTTTATTTAAATGTGGAGGAGAGCCCTTGGAAGTTTCGGACATGATCACATTTGGGTTTTCATTGGCTCCGACTATGTGAAGAACAGACTTGGTGTGTGCTGGGGGGTGGGCAAAGGGAGTAGCAGAGAGGCCGAAGAGCAGTCTGTTGCAGTAATCCAGGTGAGAAACTGATGGTGGAGTGGAGGGGGTAAAGGTTAAGAGGGCTGTGTTTTAAAGGGAACGCCAATAGGAATGCCTGTGGGATATGACAGAAAAACAGCAATGAACAATAATGCTAAAGTTTTTGTCATGACAACCAGGTGAACCAGAAGCCAATCACTAAGGTGGAGAACACTGGGGAAAGAGCAGGTATGGGGGAGGAAGACAAGAATTAAATTTAAAACATACATTTAAATTGCCTTTTAGGCATCCTCGTGAAAATGTCAAGGACACAATAGAATATACGGGTCTACACTTCAGGGGAGATGTAAGAAATGAAGCTATACACCTCAAACAATTGGTTGGCACATCGTATCGGTAAATGGAAAAATATGGATGTGTTCTTCAATATAATCCACGAGAAAGAGTAAAACACATCTTAAATTGAAGGCAGAATAATTCAGAACATGTGGGTAAACTTTTTAATTGAGTAATCAGAGCTCCTCCTACATGCTGACCATATATCCTAAGCACCATAATATACGAAGAAAATACACTGGCTAACATAGGGAGACCTTGTCTCTCCAAAAAGTAATCAGTTGGGTGTAGTGGTACATGCCTGTAGTCCTAGCTACTGAGAAGACTAAGGAGGGAGGATCCCTTGAGCGAAGAAGTTTGAGATTACAGTGAGCTTTGCCCGTGCCACTGCACTCCAGCCTGGATGACAGAGGAAGACCCTGTCAAGAAAAAAAAAAGGAAGAGAAAGAAAAGGTCCAGTCACTGCCCAGAAGCTTGTAGCCCTAGTAGAGTGATAAGATAAATGAACTTTTAAAAATTTAGCAAGAAACAAACATTTGCTCAGTATGTGAGAATAAGCAGGATGGTAGAAGAGAATAGGTGAAGATACCCAGGAGGTATGTAAAGAGATGAAGGCCGGAAGGATAAAGGTGGTGACATGATCAGACAGATGTGTTACAGAACAAAGCTTAATGTCATTTTTTCAAAAATAAAATAGATTTAATAATTTAATTTCATATTTAGGAAAACTATTCTAAATATTAAATCACATGATTAACATTTCAATTATGTAAAACAGTCAAGCAAAGAGATACTCCAGAAACGGAATTTTATACATCTTCAGACCAACATTTCTAGATTTGAACACATGTTGCCCTAGCTGGCTGCCATCGCTCTCATAATGTAAACTTTTAGGTACTGATAAAATAAGATTACCAGTTAATACATGATAAAGGTTAGGCTCCATATGATAAGAATATAAGCATACTGTATAATAATTTCTTTCTAGGCCATAAGATCAAGTCAAATTGATCTTATCTTGGGTAAAGTTTGCTGACAGAAGAATTATATAGATAATGTGGCTAATATGGCTCCTGCTGCATGATATATGTTTAAACCAACAAATATTTGCCGAGCCCTTGTTACGTGCTGATCCCTTGTTAACTATTAATGATTAAGGTGAATGAGATAATCTCTATCCTCAAGAAATAAATATATAATCAGATATATCAACAAATAAATAATATTGCATTCTAAGAACTATCTAGGGTGGGGTGGGGGTAGTACCTAAATCATTGAATGTTTGCTAAATAAACCTAAACCACAGCTGGGGTGACCAAGGAGTGTTATATCAAGCACAGGAAGCAGAAACTGGTAGAGACCCTGTAGGGGGCCATGATCCCATTCCGTAAAACCATTCTGTGTTCTGGAGCTCTGGGCCTAATATGGGAGGAGGAGCCTAGAAGATCTTTAATATGCCTTCCCGACCTTTCTCCCATTGTCTTGATGATTCCTTCTATCAGTGCTAAGTTCCTTAGCAAATGGTAGCTGGACCATGTCCTTGGTTTCTTCTCCCAAACATGATTTTTCACTTTACAAGGCTAGGCTGAGAGTTTTCCAAATCTTTCCACTCTGCTTCTCTTTTCATTATAAATTCAGTTTTTAAGTCATTGAGCTGTGGCGCAAGTGGCCCCAGGTGCAACTTGACCTGCCACTCCAGAAAGAACAAGCCATAAACCTTGGCATTGTCCACATGGTGGTAATTCTGCAGATGCACAGAATGCAAAAGCTGTAGGGGCATGGCTTTCTCCACCTAGATTTCAAAGGATGTCACAGACAGCCTGGAGGCCCAGATAGAGACTTGTTGCAGGGGCAAAGTGCTACAAGGCCAATGCCAAATGGAAATGTGGAGTAGGGGCTGCTTCAAAGAATGTGAGATAAAAATAGCCCCTTTATCAATGAAGATGGACCCTAAGGTTAAGGACAAAGCTACCTATGGATGGAGGGTTCAGGACCCAGCTGGCATGGCAAATTTCTAAATTTCTACAGCTCGAAACTCCATAACTGTAGGAGCTATCAGATTACTCCTAACTCTGATTTAGAGCCCAGACTGTTACAACTCTGATTGGACAGAGGACCAGCCCTACAAACATTCTTTTCTGATAACTGCAGACCTTAAGCCAGTTTCAACCAAACTTCCTTTGTGTCCTATGGCTCACCTTTAACATGAACAGCCAAATTCCATCTCATTTTAATGCTAAAATCCATCCCAAAGTGAACATGGGATGTATGTTACATATATGTTTACTCATTGCACATGTGCTCAGCTCCCCTCATAAATATGTATAGCTTTTCCCCAAAACTTGATGAACATTATGATACTATTGTGTGATACAGGCCCTATGAGGCATAAAACCCATTCGATCCTTCCTCTCTTCAGAGAGCACCTTCGGCACATGCCAGGGACCATCTCTTCCCAGTCTGCAAAGTGGTATCACCAAGAGAGCTCTCATTTCTACTCTTTAGCCATCCTTGTGGATGACAAGAGTCATGCTGGACACCATAACTCATACCATATAGTTCAACAATGTATAGCTAATCACTAACCAATATCATTTTGCAAACTAATGATAATTCCTAACAACCTTGTATTAAGCCATTATTTGTACCCCTCTTTTCCTTTAAAAATCTGTTTGTAACAAAGGCTGAATGAAGTACATCCCAAGGCAAATTGGAAGTGTTTCCCAGGCAGCTGTCCTCACCTTGGCTCAAATAAGCTCTTTAAAATTATATTTGTTGTCTTAGTTTCTTCCTTTAGATCAACAAGACTTACTTGGGACCTATTTACCCTTTCTTCTTTCCTGTTGCTCCCTTTTAGAATGTGAATGTCTATCCTATGCCTGTCTGACCATTGTATTTTGGATGTAGACAATTTATTTTGATTTCACAGACTCACAACTGGAGGAAAATTTGATTCAGAATGAGTTGTGTCTGAAGTCTCGAATGAGACTATGGACTTCTGAGTGACCCCAAATTTCATGCATTTGAAACTTAATACCCAAATTCATATACTGATTGATGGTGGGGCCTTTGGGAGGTAATCAGAATTTGATAAGATTATCAGGCTGGGGTCCTGATGACGAAACGGTGGCTTTAACAGAAGATAAAAGGAGACCTGAGCTGACGCACATTCTCTTGCCCTCTCTCCATGCAATGCCCTCTGGCATGTTATGACACAGCAAGGAGAGCCTCACAAGATGCCTGTGTCATGCTCGTGGACTTCCCAGTCTCCAAAATCATGAGCTAAATAAACTTTTCTTTATAAATTAGTCAATTTATAATACTGTTATAACAACAGAAGATGAAATAAGACATACATAAAAGGGAGATCATGCAATATTTTTCTGCCTGTGTCTGGCTTATTTTACATAGCATGATGTCCTCCAGGTTCACCATGGTAAGATTTTCTTCTTTATAAAAGCTTGGCTAGAATTCCATTGCATATGTGTATATATGTACATGTGTATGTGTGTGTATATATATATCACATTTTCTTTATTCATTTATCAATGGACATTTAGGTTGTTTGCATATCTTGGCAACTGTGCAAATAAACATGGGAGTGCAAATCTCCTTTCAATATACTATTTTCATTTCTTCTGTTTATATACCAAGAAGTGAATGATGAATGTAGCTAGTTCTATTTTTAATTTTTTGAGGAATCTCTACATAGTTTTCTATAATGGGTGTACCAATTTATACAATAGTGTACAAGGGTCTCCCTTTCTCCACATCCTTGTCAATACTTGTTACCTTTTTTCTTTTTGATCATAGACATTCTAGCAGGTATGAGATGATATTTTATTGTGGTTTGATTTGATTTCCCTGATGATTAGTGATGCTAATCACCTTTTTATATGCCTGTCAACTATTTGTATGTCTTCTTTCAAGAAATGTCTATTCAGGTCCTTTCCCCTTTCTGTACCATGTTGAACACCACTGATAAAAAGAAGATATTTGCAGTGCCCCAGAATTATAGAGGAATAATATCTAGAGCTGATTCTATAACTTATGAGTCAATATCTACATGTGGCTACTTAAATTTAAATTAAGTAAAATTAAAAAGTAATTTATTCATAGATAACACAAACAAATGGAAACACATCCCACGCTCATGCATTGGTAGAATAAATATTGTGAAAATGACCATACTGCCAAAAGCAATCTACAAATTCAATGCAATTCCCATCAAAATACCACCATCATTCTTCACAGAACTAGAAAAAACAATCCTAAAATTCATATAGAAACAAAGAAGAACCTGCATAGCCAAAGCAAGACTAAGCAAGAAGAACAAATCAGGGGATCACATTACCCAACTTCAAACTATACTACAATGCCATAGTCACCAAAACAGCATGGTACTGGTATAAAAATAGGTGCATAGACCAATGGAACAAAATGGAGAACCTAGAAATAAAGCCAAATACTTAACAGCCAACTGATCTTCAACAAAGCAAACAAAAACATAAGATAAGGAGATGACACGCTATTCAACAAATGGTGCTGGGATATCTGGCAAGCTACATTTGGAAGAATGAAACTGGATCCTCATCTCTCACCTTATACAAAGATCAACTCAAGATGGATCAAAGACTTAAATCTAAGAACTGAAACCATAAAAATTCTAGAAGATAACCTCAGAAAATCCCTTCTTGACACTGGCTTAGGTAAAGACTTCATGATCAAGAATCCAAAAGCAAATACAACTAAAACAAAGATAAATAGATGGGACTTAAACTAAAAAGCTTTTGCACAACAAAAGAAATAATCAGCAGAGCTAACAGACAATCCACAGAGTAGGAGAAAATCTTCACAATCTATACATCTGACAAAGGACTAATATCCAGATCTACAAAGAACTCAAACAAATCAGCAAGAAAAGAACAAATAATCCCATCAAAAAGTGGGCTAAAGACATGAATAGACAATTCTCAAAAGAAGATATACAGATGGTCAACAAGCATATGGAAAGATGCTAAACATCACTAATTATCAGATAAATGCAAATCAAAACCACAAAAAAGATACTTGCACACGCATGTTTATAGCAGCACAATTTGCAATTGCAAAAACATGGAACCAGCCCAAATGCCCATCAACCAACTAGTGGATAAAGAAAATACAGTACATATGTACCCATGGAATACTACTCAGCCATAAAAAGGAATGAAATAATGGCATTTGCAGCAACCTAAATGGAATTGGAGACTATTATTCTAAGTGAAGTAATTCAGGAATGAAAAACCACACATTCTATGTTCTTACTTATAAGTGGGAGCTAAGCTATGAGGATACAAAGTCATAAGAATGATACATGGGACTTTGGGGACTGGGGGGAAAGGGTGGGAGGGGGATAAAGAATAAAAGACTACACATTGGGTACAGTGTACACTGCTTTGGTGATGGGTGCATCAAAATCTCAGAAATAAAAATAAATTCTAAAAATGCTGAAAAATAATAAAAAGTAATTTCTCCATTTCAGTAGCTATTATGCTCAATAGCTACGTGAGGCTAGTGGTTCTGTACTAGACATATCAGAATAAAATGTTTTCATCATCACAGAAATGTCTATTAGAGAGTTCCAATCTAGAATATATAAGGAATTCCTGCACAACAAGGATTTAAAAAACCAACAGGAAAATGGGAAAAGGATAAGTATAGGCTAACAAGCATAAAAAGTATGCTCAAATATGCTAATAAGAGAAATAAATATTAAAATATTATATCACGGTTATACCTTTAATACTAATAAAATGAATGCTGAGCAATGCCAAATGTTGGTGGAAATGTGAACATATACAGGATGATCACTGCTGGGAGGAGTATAGATTGGTAAAGTCATTCTGGAAAGCAATATAACACTTCTGAGTCAAATTAAATATATGCATTCTCTTTCTGAGTAATTTCATTATTGCTATATATTTTTAAATTATCATAAAGATCCATCCCTGGAACATGTTCTTACATGTATATTGAAGTGTTATTTCAAGATCTATTGTAAAGCTAGAGTGTTAATTCAATTTGGTATTTGCAAAAAAAAAAAAAGATAAACTTATCAATGGAAAAGAATCTGGTAACACACCAACACACATGCAGTCAGTTGATTGCATTTTACTATCATGCAATAGGGAAAAACTTTTCAATAAGTTGTACTGAACAACTGACTATCCATATACATAAATATGAATCTTTACCCCTACCTCACAGCATACTAAAAAATCTATTTTAAATCTAAATGTAAAAGGTAATACCATAAAGCTTTTTTGAAAAAAAAAAAACTCTAGATTACTTTTGTGGTCATAAAATAGTCAAATATTTTTTAGATTGTAGGCAAAAACTAAATAGCTTGGTTTTAAAGTCTGAAGAAATAATTGCTGAGCAGGAAGACAGACTGATAGAAATTATTCAGAACAGAACACAGGAAACAAAGAATTTAAAAAATATATAGAATACAGTTTTAAAGAAGTGAGAATGAGAACATCTAATTTACATCTAAATGAAGTTTTCAAAAGTGAATGGGGCAGAGGAATATTGAAAGATATTGTGGTAAGAATGTTCCAGACTTATGAATGATACCAATACACAGATTCAAGAAAACCAATGAATCTAGAGGATATTTGCAAATATCCAGAATCAATAGAAAAAAAAAAAAAGACAAGAATCCAAATAGGAAGGGAGAGGACAAAAGAAAGGAATAGAAAATTTTCAAAAGCAGCATCTAAATTCCCAATAAGTCAAAGTTTCTTCTAATCTGTAATCTAAGAAATGTTTATAAAAACTACAATGGAAACATAGTCACCACAGTGAGTAGAGGAAACCTGATCCTATAGCCACCATGTCAAATGCAAATGTGAATGAGCTCTAGGTATTGGATGGTAGGAGTGTTATCAATGTTGATTTCTTTATTTCAATTGATGTAGCATCATTATGCAGAAAGCATTATTTACAGGACATACATGCTGAAGTGTTGTGAGATAGTGTAGGTACTTACTCTCAAATGGATAAGGAAAAAAATGTGTGTGCATATATATATATATATATATATATATATATATGTGCATGTATAAATGTGTGTGTGTGTATATATATGTATTTTACATATATACATACAGTAATACACACACATGCATACATTCACGTACAAATTCAAAAAATAAGGCAAATATGGTGAACCAATGAATCTGGGTAAATAAGAGGAATCATTTTATTCTTGCGATACTTCTATAATTTTAAAATTATTTCAAAATAAAGTTTTTAAACTATGTGATTCATTTCGCATCCAAAGTAGTAAACATTTAAATTTCAAAAATTATTAAATGATAGTGAGAATATGGAGAAACGGCAATTTTCATAAACTGCTGGTGTGATTATAATTTCAAAAACGTGTAAAGTAGTCTTGCAGTAACTCACAAAATTGAACATGGACAAACCCTATCCATCTGAACTCAAGATAAACTTTAGCTTGAGTTCTTGAATACATCTTAGACACATTCTTGTACATTTGTACTAAAGGCATATTTTAAAAATATTTTATGATGCCATTATTTGTAGAACACCAAAATCAGAAACAACACAAACGCCCATCAAGCTCAATGGCTAAATTGTGGTATATTCATATAGCAAGGTATTATACAGCAATGAAAATTAATGAGACATAACTACATGCATCAAAGTGGATGAACCTCAAAAACATACTAATGACCGAATAAGCCAGAAGAACTAAATAGGATTCTATTTTATAAGTTTAACAAGATAAAATTTAAAAATGTATTGTTCAGCCATACAAATGTGAGCAGTAAAATCAAATATATACTAGTTATGTAAAGGATATAAATGTTGAAAAACACTCTCTTTTATGTATGTTTTATTTAACAATTTACTAAAAGACTGGACCATATGAGATCACAGCTGAGTTTTATCTAAACTGAGCAGAATTTACTCCAGAAATGTAAGAATAATTCAGATTTAGGAAATCTATCAACATAATTGATTATATCAACAAATGAAAGGTAGAAATAGCATGATCATATTAGTAAGTACTTAAAAGGTATTTAATACTATTCAGCAGCTCTTCATAACAAAAACTCTAAGTAGAATAAAATTAGAAGGAAACTAGTTAAATATAAACTTTAAAAACATGTATTAAAAACCAAGAGCAAATATCCTATATTCTAAAACTAAATCCACTTCAATTTAAATCAGTAACTAGAGTAGTATTCACAATCAATACTATTAATCATTTTCTTGGAAATTTTAACACATGCTATAAGAAAAAATGAAATAAATCTAAAGAATATATTAAAATATTTCTTTTATTTGTGACACTATTTTATAATTAAGATACCAAAAATTCTATTTTAGTAATGGTGATGTGGGGAAGGTATTCTCATACATTGCTCAAAGATATTTCAGCTGTTTTTGAAAGCAATATGATAACATCTATTAAAATTAAACACATTCTTTCACCCAGCAATCTCACTGATAAAAAGCTATCTCAAAGAGTCAAAGTTACTCTATGTAAGGATATATAGGCATGGATGTGTAATGTAAGTATCCTCAATGTGGCAAAAAAAAAAAAAATTAATGATGAGTAGTCACCAATAGAAAAGTTACTGAAAACAAAATTAAAATACATCCACAATTTTAAATAGTATGCATACATTTAAAAGAACAAATAGAACTACATTACCTATCTTAAAAAGATTTTCAAGAGGTAAGCTAAGAAAAGCAAAATGCAAAGAATTATGTATGATCTTATTTTTCTAGAACAAATAACACAAATTTGTAACTTGTATATATGTATTTATAGACGTATAATCACTCAGTCATTGATTTACATGCACATGGAGAAAATCTCTAGTGTTATAATGACCTACCTCAGGGCAAGGGAGGGATTATATCAATGAGGAAAGGAGGAGGAAAGGAAATCCAAGCAAATAAAGGAAATGAAAAAGTACAGGAAAAAACTGCACTTAGGAATGAATGACATAGTCATATTTATCCATTTATGTCAAATAATATACAAGGTATATGCATAATATCATGAATCCTCAAAAAAATGCTATCCTCACGTTAGACACCTGAACTGGCTTTTTCCTTAAGTTTTAAAACATAAAATAGTCATGGAAAGACAAGTAGAAATAAAGCAAGCTTAAATATATAGGACTGAATGCCACTAGATGTCAGTAAAACCACCCCAAAAAAATATAGAAACATTTTCTTAACTGCTGGGAAAATTTGCTCTTTTATCTGCAATCTTTACCTCTTAGTATATTTGACTTGTACAATATTCAAATTCAAATTAGAAGTACAGATTACCAAAAGAGAAATACAGTTCCTTAAAAGTCAGACTATAAGCCTTATTAATAAAGGGAATATTGGTTAATTAATCCCTTAGTAAATAGGGAACCTATAGTCCCTATTTACTAAGATATCCGTAGTGTTTTCACATTATTTTTAAAAGCTCATGAAATACGCCCTTTGAAGAGATGATAAAATTTTAAATTCAATTAATCAATATATATTTATCTCATGTATTATGTATAAAATATGGAGGCAAACTGAAAGAATCATTACATTTATTGAGTTTTTAACCAAGTAGGAGAGAACAAAATGCAAATTAAGCAGAATGTTATAAATAAACCAGTGCAAAGTAATATACAGTGACACATCCACTATCTAGAAACTCAGATACAGTCACATGACTTAGTATCCCAAAACCAAGTAAATAAACAAGGAAGCTTGCTTCTAGGCAGAAAAAAAAATGCATCACAAACTTTTTCACTGAAACTCTTACTTTACTCACTACCAAGTCTCTTCATTCTTACTGTACCAACAGTATCTACTAATGGCTTGCATACATATGTTTCTAGCAGCAATAATCATAATCATAATCACAAACCAAAACTTAGAAATGACTGAAATGTGATATGTTTACTGAATGGAATATTATTCAGCAATAAAAAGGAATGAACTATTGACAGATGCTATGAGATGGATGAATCTCAAAAAAATTTTGTTTAGTGAAAGGAGTCAGACAGAAGAGACCATATACTGTGTGATTCCACTTACATAAAATATTCAGAAAAGAGCAAGCTTTAAAGACAGATATTAGCATTTTCCTGTAGCAGAGGGTAGAGGCAAGACAGTACATAGGGATTAACAGTAATGTGACACAGGAATGACAATGCAGTGATAAAAATGTATTGAAACTTATTTATAGTGATAGTTACATAACTTGATAAAATTTAAATTAGTAATTAACAATTTTCCCACAAAGAAAAGTCCATGTTCAGATTACTTTACTGGTAAATACGATTAAATTTTGAAGAAAGAAATAATACCAACCCTACAAAAATGTTTTCAGTCATTTCCCAACCCATTGGCATCCTGATACGAAATCCAGACAAAGACATGATTTAAAAACCATAAATCTATATACCGGTATTACTTATAAATACAGATGCAAAATTCCTTAACAAAATATTAGCACCAAATTCAGCAAGATATTAACAAGATTATATAGCACATCTAAGTGGGATTTAACCCAGGAATCTAAAATTGATATGACATTCAGACACTCAAAAATCACACACTTCTCTTTTGTCTTCCTGGAAGGATTTCCTAGGATCACCTGACAGACAATTTAAGGGCGGGGAGGGGAAGGGGAAGCCTGTTCCATAAATTGGTCAAATCAACGTCATCTCCAGCCAATATGAACTACTGCTAAACTATAGCTCAATTCAGAAGCATTCATGAAAAACAATGAGAAGAAACTTTTCCTACGGGCAGAACCCACATCCTTTTTGAATGGAAATAAAAGAAACCTGAGGTAGGTTTCAGACTGCCAGACAGACAGTGGCAACTGGCTAAAGTGGTTGGTCAGGGCTCAGGAGGAACAAGTCTGCAAGATTAGAGACAAGAAAATCTGGAGAAGAGGCATTTGAATGGACCAGTGGTAATGGCCACAGAGTATGTAAATCTTTTTTTGATTCATACTAATGCTCATCATAAGGTATCCACCACAGAAAAGATACTCAAAAACCAGGTGACAACCAGGTGACGAGACCACCCATTGGGTGGGTGTTATAGAGCCTCTGTTCTCAGCCATGTCAGTGATGGCAGTGGTGGGCTGTCTGCAGCAGGGAGGTGCGGGAGGTGGTGGTGGCGGCAGAAGTGCCTGTGGGAACAGCAATGGCGGTGGTGGGTCCACTGTGCCCCACGTCCCCAAGGCAGCCAAATGCACTGCCCCCACCCTAGTGCAGCCAGGTAGGACCCACCCCCAGGTCCAGAGCCCCCATGCTCTGGACACTGGCCACCACTGCTATGGGGAGGGTTCAGGCAGGAGGTGGGGCTGGGGCCTTGTTTCGTGGGCCCAGGACGGGAAGTGGGAGCAGTGCCTACCTCAGGGACCCAGTCAGCGGTGCAGTCACCGCAGCCACCCTGTGAGGCTCCTGTGCCTCAGGGGAGGCTCTGCCCAGGACCACCCGGGGCCATGTCCCAGGGGTCCACCCCACATCTGGGTGATTGCTGGGCCTGACACTCCAAACAGCAAGGCAGGCCGCAATCCATTAGAGGAGGCTAATATGGTTTGGCTGCATCCCCACTCAAATCTCATCTTGAATTTCAGTTCCCATAATTCCCACAATTTCACTGGGGGGACCTGGTGGGAGGTAATTGAATCATGGGGTCAGGTATTTCCCATGCTGTTCTCATGATAGTGAATTAAGTCTCATGAGATCTGATGGTTTTATAAAGGGGAGTTCCCCTGCACACACTCTTGCCTGCCACCATGTAAGATGTGACTTTGCTCCTCATTCGCCTTCCGCCATGATTGTGAGGCGTCCCTAGCCATGTGAAACTCTGAGTCAATTAAACCTCTTTCCTTTATAAATTACCCATTCTTGGGTATGTATGCCTTATTGGCAGCATGAGAACAGACTAATAGAGAGGTGCCCCCCTGGGCAGGGCCGTGAGCCTTTACAGGAGGAGCTCTGGGAACCCTTGAGCACTGAGGCCATGGGGGGACCTCGTGGAGATGCTGCCCCTGCCCTGGACACCGGCCTGGCCCAGCGAGGACTTGGAACCTCTACCCCAGGCTGTGAGGGGGTGAAGCTGGGGCTGCGTACTCCACAGAGCCAGTGGGAGCAAGAAGTAAGTAGCAGCCCCACCCTTCCAGGTGCAGCTGCAGCTGCCCACTGCAATGTCAGAGCAAAGTTGGAGCTGAGCCCCCATGCTATCATACCCTGGCCAGGTGTGGGCATGCTCAGGGAAGCACTGACATGCCAGCCTCCTACCACCTCGGCCCCCTCTGGACCTTGGGCGCCAACAAGCACAGGGGGAAAGCTGAGGGAGGGGCTGAGGGTGGCTCAACGCTGGCCTGCAGGTGCCCCTTGGCACAAGCAGCCTCAGTGCCATGGATAGTGGCAGTAGGCAGATGGGCTCCTGGGCAGAAGGAAGGAGGTCCCTGATAAGGCCCCATCTTCAGGCCAGGGAGGGCCTGAAGGCTGGGGGCCAAGCTGCCAGTCCCATGGACTGGAGTAGGGATTTGTGGTGCCTTTTCTGGGCCCACCCATGGCTGCCCATGAACCAATAAGCACGCACTTCCTCCCCTCTGAGTCCTATAAAAGCCCTGAGCTCAGCCAGAGCAGAGCAGAGGATGGACAGCCAATGGGACAACCAGCTGCAGAGTAGCTATCCTCCTTGCTGAGAGCTGCAAACGACGGAACAACCTGCCTGCAGAGAGGAGCCACCCACTCTGGGGCCTACTCTCTGCCAACAGCTGCAGATGATAGGACAACCAGCTACAGAGAGGAGCTACCCTCTCTGCTGATAGCTAAACACTTGGGACAACCAGCTGCAGAAAGCAGCTATCCTCTCTCTTCCGAGAACTGAACACTTGTTGGGATGACCTGCCTACAGAGAGGAGCTACCCACTCTGCTAGGAGCTGAACACTCATTGGGACACCCTGGCTACAGAGAGGAGCTGCCCACTGCAGGGCTTTCCTGAGATGTTCTATTGATCAATAAAGCTCCTCTTCATCTTGCTTACACTCCGCTGCTCTGAGTACCTCATTCTTCCTGGTCACAGGACAAGAACTCAGGACCTGCTGAGTCGCAAGACTGAAAGAGCTGCTGTAATACAAACAGGGCTGAAACATGCCCCTTTTTGCCATGTTGCAGGCAAAAAAAAAAAAAAAAAAGAAGAGAAGAGCTGCGGCCCTTTGGGGAGCCCAGACCTGGGAGCTTCCCAAGCCAGAGCTATGACTCCCTCTTTGTGGCCCTGTGGTTCCTCGTGTCTTCATGTTTCTGGGTACCACTGCATTCCCCAGTGCCAGCCGGGGAAGCTGCTTGCAGTATGCCTGGTCCAGCTGCAGACTTGCGGAGAGCTGGCACCCATGCCGGCACCTAGAGTTGCCTGCCCTGCAGCAGTGGCTGGTGTGTCTGACTGTGCAGTGGCCAGACCCCATGTTTGCTCACACATCCGTCACCACTCCACATCTGACTCCAGTCTCCCTTGGAGCCATGGGATCCAGGCCGGCAGCATGAGCTGAGCAAAGCCTGATGGAAACAAGCCCAGTGGGCCTGAGCAAACCTCAGGCAAAGGTGCCACTGGCCACAGGTTTCCAGCCAGAAAAGTGACACCCCAAAGATCTCATAATATTAGTCTGTGTACAAATGGTCCATGAATAGCAACATGGTGGAAGAGATGGACATTATCAATGAGTGCAGTATGTGGCTGCTTCTCACCAAGTCATAGGTAACAACCCCTATTGCAGATACTTTTGTCAGCAGAAGAGAGCCATGATGAACCCTCACTGTGTTAGCATCTCTCAACAAGAATAACCAGAAACTTGGTGATAAATATGTCACCCTGAATTCATTCTATGCTGGAGACAGTAATGACTATCCTTAACAGAACTGGTACCTACTTTTGAATGTGGGTTAACTTCCTTGGCTTATAGTAAGTCTGTCAGCCCCACAATGTAAGAACTTACAACTTAGTTACTAACAAAAGATCTCATATAGCATCATCACCTCAGATACAAAGACCCATTTTATGTTAAAGAGATACAACAGGCCGGCGCAGTGGCTCACGCCTATAATCCCAGCACTTTGTGAGGCTGAGGCGGGTGTATCACCTGAGGTCAGGAGTTTGAGACCAGCCTGACCAACATGGAGAAACCTCGTCTCTACTAAAAATACAAAAATTAGCTAGGCATGGTGGTGCATGCCTGTAATCTCAGCTACTCAGGAGGCTGAGACAGGAGAATCACCTGAATCCAGGAGGCGGAGGTTGTGGTGAGTCAAGATCGCACCATTGCACTCCAGCCTGGGCAACAAGAGCGAAACTCTGTCTAAAAAAATAATAAAATAAAAGAGATATAACAAGTGCACAACTGTGGCAACTACTCATCTCACCACATATTGCATTAACTGCCACAGTCTAACACAATGGTAGAATGACCTATTAAAGGTTCAGTGCGTCCTCCAGATAAGCAAAAACACTCTAGGGTCAAAGTACTAAAACAATGGCCAACGTATGGGGTGTTGTACCCAATGGCTGGAACACACAGGGCCTAAACCAAGTGGTATTAAGTAGGAATAGCCCCTCTAACCCTCTCTTTAGTGACTCATCCTCAAAATATTATTTCCATCCCTACAACCTCAGGGTCTACAAGAATATAGGAACTTGTTTCTTGGGTGGAAAGGGTATGATAATTCCACCAAGGGACATAATACAATTTTTCCAAGCCTGAAACTATGATTGCTGCCTAATCTCTTTCATACCTCATGCTGATAAATCAGAAGACAACTAAACTAGTCATAATATTGGCACAGGAGAATTATTTCAAGTATCATGGGGAGCTACACTTGCTACTAAATATGAAGCCAGAGACAACTATGCCTGGAACTCAGAGGATTCACTGATGTCTTTTGGTACTTCCATGCCTGATGACAATAGTGAATAGGCAAGTGTAGCAACCTAATGGGTCCAGAGCAGCCAAAATGCTGGCCAAAGGTACAGGAAACCGAAAATAGTAGAGAAAACAGGAGATGATGAATATAAATTAAAAACTTGAAAACAATTTCAACCAAGGGGAGTCTATTATGTTCCACTAACCCTTCCGGAGACTGTAATTAGTCATCTACTTGAAGAGTTAAAGGACAGATCGGACTTAATGTATTGGCAAGGCAGATGTGAGCAGCTTAAAGAATGGGCTGAAGCAATTGCCACTAGTTCCCTGACAAATGACTTCGGTGTAACTCTAATTTCTGTCATAACAGTGGTATCCCACAAGCCCAGAAACTTTCTAGTGCTGTAATGGCAATTCACCTCAAGCATGAGCAGTGTGTCTTTCCATCTTCTGTCTGAGGACCTTCTCTAACACTACAGAACCTGCTCCAACTCCCATCCTTCAGATGGGCAATTCTGGTATTCATTCTGACACCTTAGAAATTGAGCTCCCATTGCACCTAACAACGACCTCAATAATGCACCCCATGTTAGTTTTCCTCCTCCCGTGTTGTGCTCCCCTGCTGCCTTCTTCCTGCTCCCAAATAAAGTAACTGCATCCAAGATCTTGCCTCAATTTTTTTTTTCTGGGAAATCCACTCTACAAGGTACAAAATTTGTACAGTCAATGACCCAGCAGTTCTAGCAATGGGACCCAGCAATACCCAACAGAAATCATATATATAGTCATAAAATGGTAAACAGTAGTTCCTATATGTATTTGCAATAGATGAAAATTGGAAATAAATGTCATCAAAAGTAGAAATACTTTATAATGAAGTGTTATTCAGAAATGAAAATTAATGAATCACAGCTACACACAAAAACATAGATGTATTTCACATATATAAAAATTTGTGAAAAAAAGACCACATATATATGCCTATCAGAAATTCCATATACAGGCATTACCCCAAAAAAAGGCAACATTATTTTTTTGTTGTTGGTAAGATTCAGTGATAAAAAAAAATTTTAAAGAAAGGAATTACTACAAAAGTCAAAATAGCAGTTCATTTGGAGAGGAGGGCATAAATATTTGAGGCAAAGAAAAAGAGCTCCTGTAGTCTTAGCACTGTTCTATTACTGAACTATGTTGGTGGTTACACAGGTGTACGATCTAAAATAAACCCTCAAAATGTGTATTTTTGTGTTTTCCACTTTGTTACATTCTTAAACAGTTAATGTAAAAAATATGTTACACATCAACATTATTACACATCTAATAATAATATTATGAATAGAAGGCTGAGGATACTGTCAAAGGAATGGCTATTTTCCCCTTCCCAGGCCTGTTCTTTTGGTTTGTTTGTTTTCTTTGAGGTTTTAGATCTTATTCCATTTAGTTAATTTCAAAATCCCTCTATTAGATAATTTTTCATTACATTCTTCTTTTCATCTTTAGTCTTAGGTGAATTCATAGTATAATACATGTAATTTTTAATAACCCCTTTACTGTCATTCACCTGCCATAAAATTCACCCTTTAAGAGTACACAATTCATTGATTTTCAGTATATTCACAAAGTTGATAAACTACCAAAATTATTTAACTTGAGAATATTTTCACTGCCCCAAAGAGAAACCTCACACTCATTAATAGTCACTTCCCATCCTCATCTCCCCACAGGCATTGGCAACCACTAATCAATCTGCTTTCTAAGAATTTGCCTAATTTGAACATTTCATCTAAATCTAATCATTCAATATGTGACCTTTTGTAACTAGCTTCTTTTACTTAGCATCAGGTTTTAGAGATTCATTCATGGCATAGCATGTACAAAGGGACTTCAAAAGGTTTATGGGAAAATTGGATTAAAATGACAAATAAAAATATGTAACTTCACTTCTCGATGTAAGCTCCATCCAGTTCAAGGTACTTTTGCAAGCAATGATACCAGACATTTCGTCCATCCCTAAAGAACTGGGGGTGCTTGGAATTTAACCACATCAATGCAGTCATTTTTACTGCATCAAATGCAGTTATCCATTTATTAACTGAAGAAAAATGGGTGCCCATTAAAGATTTTTTTTAGATTACAAAACAAGAAGTCAGAAGGAGACAAACCACGACAGTAAGGTGGATGAATGACTGCACACTGAAAGTCTTTCAGAATTGCTTTTGCTTGACAAGAGGAATGAGCAGAAGCATTGTTAGGGTGGAGAAGGACTCTCTGGTAAAGCTCTCCTGGGCATTTTTCTGCTAAAGCTTCGGCTAACATTCTCAAAACATTCTCATAGTAAGTAAGCAGATGTCATTATCCTTTGGCCTGCCAGAAAATAAAATAAAATAAAATTCCCTTAGATCCCAAAAATCTGTTATCATGACCTTTGCCCTTGATTGGTCCGATTTGCCTTGACCGGACCACTTCCACTCTTGGTAGCCATTGCTTTAATTGTGTTTTGTCACAGGGTCATACTTGTAAACCCATGTTTCAATTCTTCGAATAACTGTTTCAGGATCTTGAGCCCAGTTGTTTAAAATTTCCATTGAAAGCTCAGCTTTTGTCTTCAGCTGATTTGTGTGCAATGGGTTTGGGACCCATCAAGTGGAAAGTTACCCCAACTTTAATTTTTCAGTCAGAATTGTGTACGTTGAACCAGTCGAAATGTCTATAGCTGTGGCTACTATCTGTGCCATTAATCATGGGTCCTCTTCAATTAAGTCATGAACAAGAGTAACTTTTTCCTTGCAAATTGATGTGGAGATCTGCTGCTGCAGTTTTCATGTTCAACATCATCTCATTCCTTCTTAAAAAGAGTTATCCATTTATAAACTGCTGATTTCTATAAAGCATTGTCCCCATAAACTTTTCATAAAGGATCAATGATTTTGCCATTCTTCCACCCAAGCGTCATCACAAATTTGATGTTTACTCTTGCTTCAATTTTAGCAGAATGCATCTTGTTCTGCTTTTCAAACTGATGTCTTATCTTTTGTAGTGCCTCAAACTAGATCCTGTTCAGATATATAATATCAAGTTAATACTAGTTTATTTTGGTGTAAAAAATTTTTTTGAAATCCATGCATAGATTTTTCATAATATGCATTTTCTATGAATTTTTGAAGACTCCCTGAACCGATTTTTGTTTCTTTTGCTGAATAATATCCCATTGCATGAATATATCAACTTTGTTTATAAACTCTTCCATTAAGGGACATTTGATTTGATTCTATTTTTGGCTATTCTGAATATGCTACCATAAAATTTTGTGCACAATTTTTTGTGTAGATATATTTTTTAAATTAAGTGTATACCCAGGAAATGCAATTGCTGGGTCATGTATCAACTCAATCTTAATTAACATTTTGAGGAACTATCAAACTGTGTTCCAAAGTAGATGCATGATTTTACAATCCCACTAGCAATGTATGAAAGTTCCAATTTCTCTGCATCCACATCAGTACTTGTTATCTATAACTTTTTTTTGCCAATCCACTGGATATCAAGTGCTATTTAGTTGTGTTTTTGCATTTCTGTAGTTGCTAGTGATGGTGAGCACCTTTTCATGGGTTTACTGTGTATTTTCTTGAGAGAAGCTGCTATACAAAACCTTTCCCCATTTTTAAAATGGGTTGTCTTTTTAACTGTTGAGTTCTAAAGGTTCACTATATATTGTAGATACTAGTTAATTATTATATAGTTTGCAAATATTTTCCCCATTCTGTAGGTAGTCTTTTCACTTTCTTGATGGTGTCCTTTGAAACAAAACTTTTGAACTTTGAGAAGTCCAGTTTTGTCACTTGTGATTTTAGTCATATCTAAGAAATCAATGCCTAATCCACAGAGGTAAACAAGTGCTAGAATGCAGCTCCTGATACCCAAAGCGCTTAAACCTGTGTTTCAAAAGTACAAATGTAAATACAAGCAAAGTAGTAAACTGAATGATAATCAAGCAGGGTAAAAAGTTTGATCAGACACTCTTGCATAACTCCTGATTCCAAAAGTGATATCCCAGTGACTGAAATAAAAAGCAACCTACTGCGAGACAAAATGGCTTATTTACATGTTTCAGCATTTTGACTTTAAGTAAAACTAAAAAAAAAACAAAAACAAACAAACAAAAAAAAACTTTCTGAAGCTTTCCTAACCTTAAGCATTGGCAGCTCGAATTTATACTACCTGAACACAAGAAAAACCTCTAAGCCAGGGGTTGGGTCTGAAAGTGCCCTCAAGGCACTTGGCAAAAGAACCTGCAAATTCCAATTGCAGGAAGTACTTTAAACACAGGTCTTAAAGAATTTCCACAGTTAAAGTATCAAGAAACACAAGTTAACAATAAAATCATAAAACATATGGGTAAATAAGGTATAATAACTAAAAAATAATTCACAGAATTATTAAACTGCAAATATGTATCTACAATGAGTGTATATACCGCTATTATAAAATACATGTATAAACTAAGTATTCTTAATATGTTAAATAAAACAAGACACTGAAATTGGGACAGAACAGAAGAGAATAAAAATGAGCAAGCAAATATGAAAATAAAAGGAATAGTACTTCTAGAGTGGAAAACTATAATTAAAATTAGTAACTCAAAATAAACTGCAAATTAAATACTACTGAAGAGTTAACTTGGGAGACAGGGTAAGGAGATTACCCAGAATGCAATGCAGAGAGACTAATATATGGAAAATATGTTGAGTCATAGTATAATAATAATAATAATAATTCACATGTATCAAAACAGCTGTACAAAGAAAAATATAATAGGCAAGAATCCACAAAGATATAACAGCTAAGAATATCCCAGAATGGACAAAAAGACCAATCTTTAGATTCAGGAATTTCAGAGTCTCAAGCAGGATAAACATAATTAACAACATTAATAAATAATGTGTTAGGTGTGAAACACCAAATACAACGTGAAGATGTACAGGACCAGGAAGGAAAAGTCTACTCATAAGGAAAATGAATTATTGCTAAGCAGACAGGAGACTTCTCAGGATCAAAAGTGGAAGTCAAAACAGCATGGAACCACATTTTCCAATGCTGAGGGAAAATAACTCTGCATTTCTAATTGTGTATCTATTGCAACTATTATTCAAATATACAGATGAAATAATATTTTCAAACAAAAGTAGTGTGTTTGTAATGTGTCAACTTTGCTTGGCTGTACTACACCTTCTATAATTTCTTTTCTTAGGTGTTTGCCTAAGTTCCCTAGAAAATTGTACCACTTATCTTTCAAGAGTCAGGCTCACAGGTCATATTTTTGAGACTCCTTTTCAACTGTTTCCTCAATCCTAGGAAGTTTGGCACACTGTCCTCCATCCAGAACACCTATTATATACCTTTGCTACATATCAAAGTACACCTTAATATAACTGATTATTTGTTTCCACCACTGTACTGGGAATATCTTAGAACTGGAATTTCACTTACTCATTTTTGTATCTCCAATATTTAATATGGTCACTTCTGAAATGTTTGATGAATGAATGCACCTTAGAAGAGAATGTGACAAGATTATAAAAGAGGATAATTTGGTAGGAAGGAGAAGATATCAGTATGTGTAAAGACATAAAAACAGAAATAAACACTGTGCTAAGGAAAAACAATATGAATAGTATTGAGAAAAGAAAATAAATTGAAGATATTACCTAGATTTCACACTGAACTGTTAATGTATTATATAGCCAAAGGGGAACCACTATTCTAATCTTACATATTCTTAAGTTCCATTATAAAATCCATACTGAAAAAAATCATTCTAAAAGTTATATATAGGAAAAAAATTAAATTTAATATTGGAGATTTCTGAAAAAGATTGAGATAATTATTATACAAACTACAGACCAAATAAATTTTTAAAAGGGATGCATGAAAATAATCCAATGTTCCTTTAAAGGTGAAAGGATACCTTCTTTTGCTGTGCAAAAACTCTTTAGTTTAATTAGAGCCCATATGTCAATTTTTGCTTCTGTTGCAATTGCTTTTGGTGATTTCATCATGAAATCTTTACCCGTGCCTATGTCCTGAATGGTATTGCCTAGATTTTCTACTAGGGTTTTTATAATTTTAGGTTTTACATTTAAGTCTTTAATCCATCTTGAGTTAATTTTTGTATAAGGTGTAAGGTAGGGGTCCAGTTTCAATTTTCTGCATATGGCTAGCCAGTTCTCCCAGTACCACTTACTAAAGAATCTTTTCCTCATTGCTTTTGTCAGGTTTGTCGAAGATCAGATGGTTGTAGATGCGCAGTCTTATTTCTGAGTTCTCTATTCTTTTTCCATTGGTCTGTGTGTCCATTTTTGTACCAGTACCATGCTGTTTTGATTACTGTAGCCTTTTTGTATAGTTTGAAGTCTGGTAGTGTGATGCCTCCAGCTTTGTTCTTTTTGCTTAGGATTGTCTTGGCTATAAGAACTCTTTTCTCATTCCATGTGAATTTTAAAATAGTTTATTCTAAATCTGTGAAGAATGTCAATGGTAGTTTAATGGAAATAGCATTTAATCTATAATGCTACATACTTTGGGCAGTATGGCCATTTTCATGATATTGATTCTTCCTATCCATGTGCATGGATTGTTTTTCCATTTGTTTGTGTCCTCTCTGATTTCCTTGAGCAGTGGTTTGTAGTTCTCTTTGAAGAGGTCCTTCACTTCCCTTGTTAGCTGTATTCCTAGGTATTTTATTCTCTTTGTAGCAATTGTGAATTGGAGTTCATTCATGATTTGGCTCTCTGCTTACCTTATAGGAATGCTTGCGACTTTTGCACATTGATTTTGTATCCTCAGACTTTGCTGAAGTTGCTTATCAGCTTAAGAAGCTTTTGGGCTGAGCCAATGGGTTTTTCTAGATATAGGATCATGTCATCTGCAAAAAAAGACAATTTGACTTCCTCTCTTCCTATTTGAATACCTTTCATTTCTTTCTCTGTTCTAATTGCCCTGGCTAGAACTTCCAATGTCATGTTGAATAGGAGTCATGAGAGAGGGCATCCTCGTCTTCTGCCAGTTTTCAAGGGGAATGCTTCTAGCTCTTGCCCATTCAGTATATTGGCTGTGGGCTTGTCATAAATGGCTCTTATCAATTTGAGGTATGTTCCTTCAATACCTAGTTTATTGAGAGTTTTTAATAACATGAAGGGATGCTGAATTTTATTGAAGGCCTTTTCTGCATCTATTGGGATAATCACGTGGTTTTTGTCTTTAGATCTGGTTATGTGATGAATTATGTTTATTGATTTGTGTATGTTGAACCAGCCTTGATTCCCAGGATTGAAGCCAATTTGATCATGGTGGATAAGCCTTCTGATGTGCTGCTGTGTTCAGTTTGCCAGTATTTTATTGAGAATTTTTGCATCAGTGTTCAGAGGGATACTGACATAAAGAAACTATCATCAGAGTGAACAGGCAACCTACAGAATTGGAGAAAATTTTTGGAATTTATCTATCTGACAAAGGTCTAACAGCCAGAATCTATAAGGAACTTAAATATTCAAGAAAAAAACAAACAACCCCATTAAAAAGTGGAAAAAGGACATGAACAGACACTTAATCAAAAAAAGACATTCACAGGTGGGCGCAGTGGCTCACGCCTGTAATCCCAGCACTTTGGGAGGCCAAGGCGGGTGGATCACAAGGTCAGGAGACTGAGACCATCCTGGCTAACATGGTGAAACCCTGTCTCTACTAAAAATACAAAAAATTAGCCGGGCGAGGTGGCAGGTGCCTGTAGTCCCAGCTACTCAGGAGGCTGAGGCAGGAGAACGGTGTGAACCCAAGAGGCAGAGCTTGCAGTGAGCCGAGATCGCGTCACTGCACTCCAGCCTGGGCGACACAGCACTCCAGCCTGGGCGACACAGCGAGACTCAGTCTCAAAAAAAAAAAAAAAAAGGCATTCATGCAGCCAACGAACATATGAAAAAAAGCTCAACATCACTAATGATTAGAAATGCAAATCAAAACCACAATGAGATACTGTCTCACACCAGTCAGAATGATGATTATTAAAAAGTCAAGAAACAACAAATGCTGGTGAGTTTGCAGATAAATAGGAACACTTTTACACTGTTCCTGGGAATGTCAATTAGTTCCACCATTGTGGAAGAGAGTGCAGCGATTCCTTAAAGATCTAGAACCAGAAATACCACCTGACCCAGCAATCCCATTACTGGGCACATACCCAAAGGAATATAAATCATTATATTACAAAGATACATGCATGCATATGTTCACTGCGGCACTATTCACATTAGCAAAGACATGGAATCAACCCAAATGCCCATCAATGATAGACTGGATAAATAAAATGTGGTACATATACACCATGGAATACTATGCAGCCATAAAGAAGGAATGACATCATGTCCTTTGTAGGGACATGGATGGAGCTGGAAGCCATTATCCTCAGCAAACTAAGGCAGGAACAGAAAAACAAACACTACATGTCCTCACTTATACGTGGGAGCTGACCAATGAGAACACATGGACACAGGGAGGGGAACAAATACATGGGGTCCTGTTGGGGGGTGGGGTGGGGGAAGGGAGGGCATTGGGAAAAATAGCTAATGCATGCTGGGGCTTAATACCTAGGTAATGGGTTGATAGGGGCAGCAAACCACCATGGCACATGTTTACCTATGTAACGAAAGTGCACATCCTGCACATGTACCCTGGAACATATAATTAAAATTAAAAATAAACAAAAGTGAAAGAATAAAGAAAGAACAAAAAAGAACTCATATGTTTTGGGAACAGAAAAAATGTGTAATGATTATCTTTGGTCAAGAAAAATTTTAAAGTGAATTCAGTATTTCATCACAAGAAATTCATATTATAATATCAAAAACACATACATAATTTCAGACTTTAGGAATATACACTTACTGAGGAAAAAATTTTAACTCAAAATAATCAATATACAAAACCAAAAAAAAGGTCCCTTGGATATACACAAATAATAGCAACAATATCACAACTGCTTAAAAAGTGATATTAGAATTCAATATTCCTCTAAAAATCAAAAAAGTTAAGCTGATATTAAGATACACAGATTTAAAAAGTAAAAACAAAAAAAGTTCAGAGCCTCTGAAATTTAACCTACTCAGGCGCTCATGGAGAAGATTTAAAATCACAATAATTATGCTACCAAAATACAAATATCTGAATAATTTGTCTTTATTTAACAGTTTTTGACCTGAGTGTTTTATTTCACATCAATATACAGCCTTGAAAATGTATATGTGAATGTTATTTTTAAAAATATCAATAATCTTAACCAGTTTACTAACGAATCA
This sequence comes from Homo sapiens, assembly GCF_000001405.40. Taxonomy (NCBI): domain Eukaryota; kingdom Metazoa; phylum Chordata; class Mammalia; order Primates; family Hominidae; genus Homo; species Homo sapiens. Next base: position 201,151 of record NW_025791767.1, on the reverse strand, counting down.
CTTTTTTTCTAAGTTGAAAGCCATTTTACATTAGATTGAAAGCTCATTCTTTATATAGAATAAAATTAGGAAGGAAAAAATTTAAAAGATTTAACAATCCTAAGCTTTGAAATATTTTATGTAGTAACTTAAATGTTCTACTGTTCTCCAAATTTTTAAAGAAAAATCTGTTGCCAACATTTATAAAATAACAGATCTTACTAACTTAAATTAACACAAATGTTTTAGGGTAGAAAAAAAGCATTATTCCAATGTTGACTATAACCTATAAAATAAAACTTAATCCTAAGAAAATATAAATACTAAGATAAAAACACTACTTTTTGTTTTTATTTGAAAGTACTCTGAATAAAACTACACTATTACTACACATCTAGTTATAATTATACAGTATAATAAAATAACAGGCTGAAAAATAATACTTTCAAAATAAAAAATAAAACAAAAAAGCTAGTTTTAAATTATAAACTATCTTAAAAGAAGGCAACCTAGTTTCAAACATATCTTCAGCTATTTTCTTTATTGGTCTTCTGTCCAAATAGGAAAAATATCAATTAAAATTAAGTGAAATGGCCGGGCACGGTGTGGCTCACGCCTGTAATCCCAGCACTTTGGGAGGCCGAGGCGGGCAGATCACAAGGTCAGGAGTTCGAGATCAGCCTGGCCAATATGGTGAAACTCCGTCTCTACTAAAAATACAAAAATTAGCCGGGCATGGTGGTGGGTGCCTGTAGTCCCAGCTACTCGGGAGGCTGAGGCAGGAGAATATCTTGAAACCAGGAGGAGGAGGTTGCAGTGAGCCGAGATCACGCCACTGCACTCCAGCCTGGGCGACAGAGTGAGACACCATCTCAAAAAAAAAAAAAAACATTTTAACTGAAATGTAGACTTGTCAAAATATCTTTTTCTGCAGGATTTAATAATTTAAATGCTGCAAATAAATTTTCTAGTTTGTATATTTTTATCATTTCCAAATATAAAATATTATACATTAAGACATAACTGAAGTTAAGGGAACTCTGAAAACTAAAGGCAAATGATTGGTCCTTCCTGATTAAATTGGTGCCCCCCTCCAAAAAAAAAAAGGCATCATAATGCCTTTTCTTTGACATTCAAACTAATTTTCTTTTTAATAAACCAAAATCATTAACTTTGCCATATTTTATGGTGACTAAACAACAAAAGCACCCCGGTGATACAACAGCTATAGAAGTTCTGTAAAATGTGGAGCCCCGGCCCAGTGGCTCATGCCTGTAATCCCAGCACTTTGGGAGGCCGAGGTGGGTGAATCACCTTAGGTCAGGAGTTCAAGACCAGCCTGACCAACACGGTGAAACCCCGTCTCTCCTAAAAATACAAAATTAGCCAAGCACCATTACACTCCAGCCTGGGTGACAGAGCAAGACTTTGTCAAAAAAAAAAAAAGAAGAAGTTGTTGTGTAAAATGAATTCTTTTCCAAAGGAGATATTCTTCATAATTGTGGAAATAATCTTCAAGATCTGGCAGGGCTTAGGGGAGAGGGAATGACACAAAAGTGTTCAGAGAGTTTAGGTTACAAAAAGTAAATGTTACATTGTTTGTTCTCAAATAACCACAAACTAGAGATGAACTTGTTTGAAAAAATACATACATAAAGTTTCCAACTCTTAAGTAAACTTTAACTTTCAGGATACCAAATTCAAACTTACAGTGTTTCTGGAAATTATTTCCCAACATCAAAGAAATGACAATATCAACATGCTCAATACAGACATACAGATATTAACACACTTGATTGTCCCTAGCTTGCTTAGGAATTTTCTAAATTTTTGCAAATATTCTTTAAACCACCCCATATCAAGTTCTTCAGAATTGTTTGGCTTACTCTAACTCTTCAGTGCACTTGTATAATTTTATGGTTCTATCTTTGCATCAAAATAATACCCTGAACTTGCTCAATTAATATTTACTTGCAAAATAAATTCCAATTCAATAGTAAATGCATGACAAAATATTGATTCCCCTTCCCTGCTGGACGTACTGTTCTTGAATATCACAAATATCTCCAAGTAGCTAATAACCTAATAACCAAAAATATAAAACCCAACTAAAATTAAATATTGCTAAAAATAAAATGATAGAAAATTATCATATTATGAGCTAAACACAAGGAAAGAAGAGATTATGTCTGATTTTTCCTCTATTTCCTTTTAATAAATGCCACTCTTACAAGCACTTCTATTTTCCAGGGAAATGGTAGCACTAACTCTCTATATACTAACCACAGTTGCAATTATAACTCAACAAAGTAGGAACTGAAACAAAGGACAGGGAAGACATGTGAAAAGTATCAGAAGGTAAAATGGTATTTATTGCCTTTGAAACCACATACAAAGAAGAAGAGTTCATCAAATAAAATATTTTCAAGCCATCTCACACTGGTGAACCACATTTACTAAGTAATAATCTTTTTAAAATCAACGCATCATGTCCTAGGTCACAGAAAATTTCTACAGCAATCTAACAATCTAACATGGTCTCCTGGGGAAAAAAATCTGAAAAATCTAGATTCATTTAACATGATTTAACATTGGAAGTTGTCGTACTATGCTTAACACCTTTACTCCAGCTCTACAGTGTCTAAACCAAGATAGTAATTACTGGGTATCCTATATATCATTTGTTACCAAACTAATGCATAAGTGATCTGTGCTTCCATTTTCTTCTACTGAAAAACAAAAAATCATGAGTATATTGTAATATAATCTTCAAAGCATTATGGGTCTCATTAAGAGTTACTCAAGACTTATTCATTTAAAAATTATTATAAACTATAAACTTTTACTTAACAATTCATTTTACTTAACAATTTCTAAGTCACAGTATAAAAGGTAAACAAGGAAAAATACTGAGAGTAAACAAGTTATATATATACTATGTTATACATCATATGTATATATGTTATACATATACATACAGTATGTATAACATATAGTATATGTATAACATATAGTATATATAACATATAGTATATGTATAACATATACTATAATTATATAACATGTTATATATATATAATTCTATGTGACAACTAAAAACATCTTGTTCATTTAGCAATATATGTCCACAATGGAAAAAATATATATAACCTATTCTATTCTTTATCTGGAACTATAATTGTCTCTTACTCATAAATCGTCTCTTACTCATAAATCCTATCTTCAGAATAGAAATTTAATGATGAATGTAACCATTATACTAATACTAAATACATCTGTGTGTATTCACCTTAAATATAGTTCAGTTTCTTGCTTAGCAGCACCAAAAATTATTTTAACTTATGATTTCACAAAAATACTTTCAAAACAAATATAGTTTTATCAGGATGATTATATTTCTAACAGTTAGTGAGCATTTATTATGTACCAGGCAACACTGAAATGCTTTACATGTTTTAATTTATCTTCACAACCACCCAAAGGGGTAGTTACTATTATGATCTCCATTTTACACAAGAAGAAACTGAGGCACAGAAGAGTTTAAAAGCTTACCCATGGTTTTATCACTAATAAGGGACAAAGCAAATATTCACACTCAGGGAGTTAGCCTCAGTGCCCATATTTTTAATAACCATCCAATGCAAGCGAGTCATAAATCTGTATGACTCAATAGTGTTGTGTTCTCAAGACGCAGTCTGACATTTCACATGTCTATCAGCCATTCTCCTCTGGATGTCTAGATGTTACTTCATATTTAAAATATTAAAAACTCCTCTTTAAAAATGGGCTGTCATTCTAGATTTCTTTCAAAGATGACTTCCAGTTAAATAAGCAACTGTAGAAGAATAGGCACATATTACCATTAAGCACTGCCTCATTAGCAAAGAATGAACAGATATTTCTTGTGCTTTTTTGAATGGGTTATTACATTCTCTAGTTCTCATAATCTATACAAGGACTGTCAGGCAAAAACAAGCATGTGGGCAAGCAAACATGATTTTAAAAAACAAAAACAAATGAGAAAACACCCTGGAAAAAGACTAACAAGTTTGTTCTGGAGAAAATAGTCTACAGATAAAAACAATTACCTTGAATATCTAAACACTGATGTTAAAATAGGCTGAAACTATGGGAAAGTTAAGCCAATTTTCTAAATGTAAAGGGTGGCAACTTCTGCATTTAGAACAATACCTGGGCAAGATAAAGTAAACGTAATATACATCTAGGCCATTTCTAACATGATAATATTTTTACTATTTACTCTGAATTAAGTTTAGCTCAAAATTACTGTGACTCATCAGGTATAGTCTGGACTTCAAATACAGGAAGAATAGATTCTAAGAGTTTTTACACAGAAAGCCTAAAATTATTTTTTCTCACAAAATAATTCAGGAAGTTATCCACAGTCCTCTCTAGAGTAGTGATTATCAACCTTAGCTGTGCATTAGAATCACCAGGAGAGCTTTAAACACCCATTAGTAAAGCCACAGTTCTTGACCAATTAAAACAGAATATTTAATTTTTAATAGGGACCCAGGCGTCAGAGTTTTTTGAAAGCTTCCTTTGTTAATTCCAATGCAAAGCCAAGGTTGAGAACCACTGTAATAGAGTCCCTTTTTTATGCTTTTTTAGTACGTAAGACCCTTTCAAATATTGATGTCTTAGACCAAGAGGAACTACTAAAATCACTTTGCTCTAGACCCAGAGTACCTGCAGGCAATAATAGTGGAAGAGTAATAGAGGTGGTAGGAGCTGAGATAGTAAAGGCAATAAAAACCAGTTATTTTTAATGTCGTTTTCTTGTTTTGTTTTAAGGCTATGATTATAGCAAGTATGGAAATTTATTACTAATCCGTGAAACCATATTTCTTATATTTGTCATAACAAAGTCTTGATTTTTTTCCTTACATATGACTTCAAATTTACGTTCTGAAGTATAATTTAATGTTTGGTTTTCTAACTGCTTTTACAACAGCTACTTTAACTCACTTAGTGATTCACTGTGTGTTAGGAGTGCTATAAGATAGAAGCAGGGACCCAAAGTGGGTTCTTAAAGAATTTGATGGCCAAAAAAAACATAAAAGAAGGTAGACATATACACAGGTATGGGAATAGTAAAGGACCTAAGAGCCAAAATGTATGGTTTGGTGCCAATAGTTTACAGGAAACTCTTCCCCAAGTAAGCTAACTCTTTTCAAAAGGCAGTATAAATAACAAACAAAATCAGTCAGAGAAATCTGAGTTGAATATCTCAGTTCCTTACTTAGCAACTTTAAATTCATGGGCAAGATATTTAATTTCCCTGAGACTCATCCATAAAGTGGTGATAATAGCTTGGAGGAGACTGCTTCTTTCCCACTCCTGATGTTTCCTTCCATGTGGAGGTTCATGGGTGGGGCACTCTCCTAGCATAATACTCCTAGCCTCTTTGCTCTTCTGACTTATGCCTTCCAGAAGTAAGGTCAATCTCACTGGTCCATTTGGAAGGAGAAAGACATATGTTAGATTAGCCTCTTCCTCCTCCTTTTCTTTTTTGGGAGAACTGCCTCAGGCTGTTTTACATGGGTACCCTCCCAAGAAGATTCTCTTGTCTGTGCCTATAACCGTCTGTGTAAGTCTAAATAATTCCTTATTTCATTATTGGTAAGCCAATTTTTCCATGAATATAAGTCAGTCTTCAATATTGTTTTTGGTTTTATTTATTTTGTTTAAGTGCGACATTTTGCTTAAGAATTATCTTTCTCCTTCTGAATAGGTTTATTTGAAAGTGGTTTAAAACTTGAAGTGGAATACTAGTTATTAGGTTCCTAAACCTTTATATCAACATACTTTGTAGAGTTGTAATGAGCATTAAATGAGATAATACATATAAGACTCTTGGGACAGTGCCTGAAGCATAATAAGCACTCAAAATATGGTAGCTGTTTCTATCGCTACCATAACCACTACTGCTATCAGGAAAGATTCAAAAATTAGATAGAAAAGGGGGCCAATTGTAAAGCATTTATCAATTCACTATAAAACATCTAGGTAAAATTCAAATAAAACACCTTCTAACATTACATCAATAAAAACAAGACATTTCCACTCACTGAAAGAGTATAGCCTGTTATGACATTAGTTATAATACAGAATGTGGAATAATATACATTTTATTTATAAAGTCAAAACAAACATTTGCCGGGGAACATTCTTTACAGCCTACAAAATCCTCAGTAACTAATCCATACAGAAAATGAATGTAATGTGGATAAACAAAATCAGACAATACTGTAGTGCATAAAATATTAAAATTTTAACAATATTTTAGTATCAGTTTGACATTTAAAAGACTTAAGAGAAAATATGCTAGTCAGTTTATTTATAAATTTATCTGGTTCAGAAATATGCTAGAAGCACACTCAAAAAACCTAAAGACATTTCATATGATATAAAACTATATATAACAGAAAAATGATTCTTCAAAATAAGCGCAGGAAGCTCACTAATAATAGCAAGATTTATTAACATGAGATCTACAGACATTTAGGAGTTTTATGAAACCCTTGAAATTATTTGTGAAACGTCATGCGTGTGTGCATGCATGTGTGGTTAAAATCTTTCACTACATTCTAAAAACTTCACCATTCAAAAAATGTAAAGATAGTGAAGCAACGTTTTAAAATCGTAGTGGCCACTTCCAGTTCATCCGTTTATCCAGATTTTCTAGTAAGTTTTCCTGCAACATATTTTCAATTTGGATGTTAGTACATGAAAAACTTTTAAAGAATCAAATAAAAAGAATCTACAGAAAATAATCTACTTTATAAAAATGTCTGTTTACCTTTTAAGTGTTCTGTGTTTTTTTTTATTATCATGCAATGTTTTTACTGCTGTTCTCAAGTTCATTGTCTTATTTTCCTGTATTCCTTCAGTTGGTAGTTTTTCAAAAATGTCTTCAACGTGACTGCTGTTCTTCAAACCATCAGGCAGTTCCCAAAATGAAGCTGTTGTACATGTATCAAACAAAATGGTACTCTGGAAATGTTTTCCACTACCAACTTTCTTTCTCACTGTTAAATTTCTAGAATGTGATCTTTTACTAATACGAATTTTCCTTAAGAGGTTCTTACAGACATCTTTCCTCTTTGTAGATTTGTTTACACTTTTGTTTCTCAGTGTATGTAAAATTTATATTTTGTTTTTTGTAACAATTTTGATCTAACAATGGGAAAATAGGCTTACTTTGTAATTTATATTGGATTTTTAGCAGATTCAGTAGCAGTAATTGCATCAAGATGAGGTGAATCTTTAGAATAAGTTGCGAGACCAGATGCAACTAATATATCTGCCAAATTGTTTTTCTCATGAATGACATCTACTTTCAGTTTTGTTTCAGAATGATATTCCCTAAACTGAAAAACTAAGTCTGGTTTACTTAGGAAATCTCGAAAAAAGATTTTGGCTTCTTCACTCCAATGTTTTCCTTTAGCAGGTAAGATACCATATAAAATACATGGATAACTCAGCCTTGGCAAATTCAAAAGTTCCTCAGGAACAACTTTAAGATTTATAATTTCTGAATAACGTATATAAAAAGAAAATCCATAGTCAACCAACACAAGACATAAAGACTGAGGTGAGACTTCAGAAATTTCTACTCTATTCCACTGATCTTCCGATTTATATTTGAACAAACAACTAGAACCGGGAATTATGAACTCCTGAGGCAATGTTTGTAAGGTCTCTGGTAGATCAGAAAGCAACATAAAAAGGTATTTCATTATGTCAAAGAAATCTTCTAACTGAATACTGAAGTCTGATGGATCAGAAACAGCAGTTGCAATACCAGAATACTGCCTATCATTTTGGAATTGAACCCAAGTAAATGATTTTATTGTGCATGATGATACAGGAGTCTTAGATTCAATGTTGTAAACAATTTCTGCAAGTCTAAGTTTGTTTTCTTCAACAGGAACTGTATTCAAATTTAAGTATTCCAAAAGTAACAGGTCATCTACCAAAATTTCTACTTCCCAAACAGCATCTAAATATTTCAGGAAAAGAATATTTATTTCCAAATCAGCAAATAAGCACTCAAATGATATGTTCTTAGAATTTTCAAACCAAATCCATTTACAAGGTACAGCTTGTCTAGGAATGTTTCTTATTTCATTACTAAGCAGCTTGGTATTACATACAGGTACTATTTCATAGATACCACAATCTACTAAAAAAACAAGTACTTTATCATCAACATACTTTTCTTCTACTTTTGATCGATGCCATTTCAAGGTATTTTTAGATTTTGCCAAGCATTCTAAACCTTTTTCAATACTTTCCATTGATAAAAAAGGGGATTTTTTTTCTTCTTTCGTAATTAATACTATTAAATCTGATAAAATTTTTTTATTTTTGGATAACTTCACATAAAATCTTCCACTTTTTGAAACATTAAGCATTTCAGCTTTTTCAAGTTGTCCAAGTTTGAATTCTTCCAAAGGAATTTTAAACAGCTGTTGGTTTGAATTCATAGAACCTTCAGACTCATTTGATTTTCCTTTCTTCATTTCATTATCACCTGGCCTCACCTTTTGAGAGAGAACCTGAGGCATCTGCAATGCTGACTTCTGCAGTTTTGAACATGCTTTCCATTTCAGTAGTTCATTAATGACACATTTTTCATCACAAATCATATTTACTTCCCATTTCTGATCATGCTTTTTCAAAAATTCACAATAAACTGTTTTGTTATGTACTTTCGAAGTAAAATAATCCACAGTTTTGTCATCCCATATTTCATCAGGCTCATTCCATTTTACTCCACTAAGAAAAGCATGGATTCCTAGCTGAGGAACAGTTAAAAATTCCCTCTGAAGTTCGTAAATTTTAGATGTGTTTACTATTGCAGAGTTACCATAGTCAATAAATTCTACTTCAAAAGAATTTCCTGGCAAAATTTTCTTAATAACTGCCCTGTAAATGGCATTGTCACCAGAATATTCTGCAACTACAAGATCTCCCACTAGAGGTTTAACTGATTTTCTCTCTCTCAATCTCCTTGCTGTTGCATTTAGAGCATCAGCAAGTCTGATAATTACACTTTCATTCTCAGCAAGCTGAATATGGAAATTCGCTGGATTACTGATATTAGATACATACCCTTTAACTTTGGCATTCAAATAAATTTGCGGTTGAGGAAGGTCTTTGATCTGTGGCCTAATAAGGTCATATGGGTTTTGTGAGGTTGTTTGATTTAATGCTCTGATAAAAGACTGTGATACAACCTTTACTGATTTTTGGCCCACACGCCTGTTCTCAAGAATATGTGCAGCTCCAGGGACAATTTTTATACCTTTAAGCCCATCATTCAAAGAAGTCTTCATTTTGTTTTTTGACACAGGTTCCATTTTATAACAAACTGATGGCTTCAAAAACCTGGCATGTATATTTTTGGGATGCATCAATTGGTCTATTTTTCTTTCGGAATATGTTACTGGACTAGGTTTATTTATCACATTATGGCGATAGTTGTTTCCTGTTTTGCCTTTCAAAGAAGTAGTAAATCTCTTATTCTCATTTATTTTATTACTCTTTTCCATGCAGCATGCTTGGTCACAATGTCTTTTTCCATAAGCATGAAGCAACACTTTAATTTTCTCATTTATATATTGAGATCCATCATACAATTCTATACCAAGCTGTCCATCTGACTCCTGGGACAATATTATCGCCTTTAATGATCTTCCCAAGAAATTGTCTTTAAACCAACTACTGATTTCTGCTGGAATATCTACATCCCTAAGATCTGACAAAAAACACTTAATAGCTTGCATAGGTGTAAACAACAACTCTGGAAACTGAGCTGAAATGGCCCTCAACATATTTTCTCCTACTAATTGCTTATTTCCAAAGTCTACAAAATAGACTTGAAACTCAGATGATGAATCTGTTGGTATTGCTAAAGCTCTGTATGAGAGACCATCCTCTACATACTTAGATATGCACACTCTCATTTTATTAGAATCATATTTTGGAAAATTTTGGAGGTTAACACTCTCTGTGATTTTTGTTTCTATCATCTCTAGATCTTTATTATTTCTGCCAAGCTGGCAATAAAACTTTTGGGGACTATATATGTGAGATATATATACTTCTTCTTCACTTCCAATTTGTATATTAAAGGAAGAATAACAGTAACTGTAAAGACTAAATAAAGATGGGAATGTCTCTGATAATGTGATATACTGAGCAGAGCCACGATTCATAAGAAATTCTTTTGCACTAGTAAATGAGGACTGTAAATCCACTAAGTTATATAAATGGTTTGGATGTATAATAACTAAGGCATAGATGATACAAGTCAATAACCCTCTAGATGAAGAGATAAAATTCCACAAGTCTCTGAATGCTTTTCTTGTCCAACTGAATAATTTACAACTAACAGGCTCAATAAAATGGTTAAGACAACATCTGAAGGCTTGGCTTTCTAACAAGAGAAAACGTGGGTTAATTGCACAAAGATCTTCAATTAAAACCCTTTTTTGGTAACCATAATCAACAAACACTATGTCAACTTCTTTTGATACTTGAGTCAAAACAGCAGCTCTACACCACTTCCCAGAATACTTAGCAACACAAGCAGTCTGCCCAATCTCATAAGGATCAGAATGAATACTATAGTAATTCTGAATTTGCTCCATTAGTAATTTTAGGTCTTCTGACTTACATTGGAGCTGGCATGAAAAGTCACCTGGGCCATAATAACAGGAACATTTAACTTCAAGAACTGTTCCTGGTCTAAAAATATATTCTTTATAAGGCCAGGATGACTCAGGTCCCACAGACAAGGTGAAAGGATTTTTAAATTCTGAGATATTAACAGCTAGGGACTTTGGCAAAGACAAGTTATTTTCCACCAGGTTATTTGAATGGTACTTTTTAGATTTAGGTCCTTCAAGAAGGGCAGATATGACTTTTTTAATATTAACTTTGTTTTTAGATTCTGAATTTAGCATTGAATATTCACTTACAGATTTTGGAAAATATTCTAGTTCTACTTGAAAATATTCTGCATATCCAGCTTGTAACATAAGAGAGATAACATCAATATTTTCTGAGGCTTCAACACTTTGAATATTTACAGTGTACTTGTCATCTTTTTTTGCTATAACCTGAAGCAAAATTGCTTTGTTCAAAACTAATTTTTTAAAATAATCAATTGCAGCCTTAGTCCATAAATCTTCAACAGGAAATATATGTGCAAGTGAACAGCACATCGCTAAGGCAGGCAACTCACAAAATTCTGGAAGCAAAATTTTTACATCAAAAAATGGTATGGAATCAGTATTACCATAATCCAAAAAATAAACATTAATCTTATAACCATTAATTTCAGTGATGACAGCTCTGTAAAAACGTCTGTCCTTGCTATATCTAGCACAACAAAATAATCCAGGTTCAGGTTTTCTTAGAATCATTTCATCGTTTTCACACAAATCATAAAATTTGTTTATGTTTTTCATTATTTCTTGAAATTCATTCCGATGGTCATTAGTGCGTACCCAGAAATTTGATGGGTTTAATACATATGCTATAAAAGCTATGTAGGCAGCCTCTATCTCCATTTGTACTGTTTTAATGGGAAAACCTACTTTTAAAATGCCTTTTTTATTTAGAGAGTCTATTGACCATTCAATATTTCCCATAAAACTCTCAACTGCAAAGCTGTTTACATCAGACACACTTGTCTCACTCAAGATATTGGAGATTTTTGAATCAGACATCGGACAAAGTACTTGTGTGCCTACAGTCTTCAGTAGACACTTAGAATTAACTGTAGACTCTTGAGTTTGTAATGTCACATAATACAAACACTCATCCTTATTGAACCAATCAATGTGTGCATATACCACTTGTCCTAATAAGGCCTGTTTAAATATACTCAGTTGAAATATTCTTGCATCTCTATCTGGACTGTGCAAACATGTCAGAGAACATGGAAATGAAAATAATGGTACTAAAATAAAATCCTGTTTAAGTTTCTTTACATAAATTGAGGGTATAGCCTCGCTACTGCCATAATCCATAAACCAAATTTTTACTTGATTTGGGGGCAAGAGCTGCTGAAGAATTCCTCTATGCCACTGTCCATTTCGCCTTCTGGCAACACAAAGCAGTCCAAAATTATCACACGTGGGACTAGTTTCTTGACAGACGGTATCATAATGCAAAGTCATATGTGCTGTCAAGTTTTCTAGCTCTGGAGTCCATTTAATTAACTGACAATAAAATTTACTTGGGCTCAATGCAGATGATACCTTTACACTTTCAGTACTTCCTACTGACAAAGATGGCTGCAACTTATCCAGAACATGCTGAATATCAAGTGAAGTATCTTTATTACCTAATGACAATTCAGGCCTTTTATGTTGTAATAAATCTGGCATTTGTTGAGGGAATTCTTCTAACATTTCCACAATAAGACGAAATGAATCTCCATCAACAAGTCTTCCTAATTGTAACTCGAGAGCCTGAGATATAATTTTTGGCACTTCAAAAAGAAACATTTGCAGAGGTAAAATAGCTTGCACATAACCTTTCACTTGTATTCCTACTAATGACTTGAAATAATTCAAAGCTTTAGGGGACCATTTTTCCCCAACTGGTAGTATATTCGCAAAAATACCAAATACTACCCGTGGCGGTAGCTCAAATAAATTGCCACAGGCTGAAGCAATCTGTGGACCAGCAACTCTTAGTTCTTCTCCGCGATCTATGAGGAGCACTGTATAGAGTTCATTTTTCTTTTCCATGACTCTTCCTCTCTGCCATTCTCCAGATACTCTTTCTTCCACCAAACAAAATTCATCAATTTCCACATTATTTTTCACTTTTGGAGTATGTTGTATTTCTCTCTGCAATACATGGTAGTCAAACTCACATTCATTACTCTTTATGCCTTGAAATTTCACCAGAATATCCTTGGGAAGACATTTAATATGTGATATTGTCAGATCCACATCTAAAAATGTTGGTAAGAAAGATGTAGAATCCATTTTCTAAAAAGCAAATAATAATTACTCATTAGCTATCAAAGTTAACTGCAATTAGCCTTATGTTTGGCATATAAATATAAAACTAAAAATAATTATATGCCTGTATTTTATCAAATTTAAACATGTTGATAAAAATTATACATATCGAATGAGACGCTGGTGAAATAAACAAAATCTAACATTCACTGCTTTCTATACTTTTAAAATTTTTCATTGAAATAATTACAAAAACTTTTTTTAAATAGGAAGAATACCATCACTGGAAAACAGAGAGGAGCAACCTTTATTTTCCAGAAACTTTAACAAATTCCAGCTGGATATTGGACAGATGTGGTGTAATGAAAGGAGCTAAATTAGCCTCACTGGGGACCTCCTTCTCCTCCTGTGAGACAACCACTTTCCTTCATGCAAACTCTTTCCAACAACCTATAACTCAAAGAGTTGAGTGCTAGAAGGGCAGATGGTGAACCAAAAAGGGGCACACTGTTTTCACTCCCCACTCTGTGCGGAACTCGCAATATTTGGACTCTATCGGCATCATTATACAATCCCGGGATTCATCTTTGATTGAGGGAAATCAGCTGAGACCTGGACACCACTAAGGGAAGCTAAGCATAGAAAGACACTGAAGTAGGTTAGGTATATCCAGACCTTATCACTGGCATGACTGGCCACAATAAGTGGAAAAGGGAAGGAATCTATAGCATCAAGGCAAAATTTTCTACCATAGCTAATCTGTGGATTTTTAGGATTCTAAAAATAAGGCAAATATTCAAGAAATACAAATAATCCCCAATTTCAGGCAAGAACCATCATCTACTGTGACAGAATACAGCTAAACTCTTCCTTGACTCTGAGTTAACAGTTGACAGGCATTAATTTATTTCTATGAGGATGAGTAAGAGAAAAACATTGGATGCCTTCCCCCTCAAAATGAGGGAACCTCTTAAAAGAAACCAAGGAAATGCTACTCCATAGAAATAGATGTACTGAAAGAAATAGCAAAGTCCTGTTCTCAAAAAGGTCAAAAGGTGAAAACATAACAACTGATATTAGGATGAACTATACACACATGATAGATTTCAAAGTATAATGGGAAAATAAAACCTAAAATAAAAATAAATTAGAAGAAAATTTTGACTAAATACCCCAAAGCTCAGAGGAAAAAGATAAAAAGATGAAAGAGGAGTATGTAGGGACAGAATATAAAGTCTCACCAAAGTCTAAATGTTTTCATTATTTAGTCACAGGCCTTCACCCAATTCCCACACTTTACTCAGTTTATAGCCCCATTAATTCCTTACATGAAGAAACAACCAGGTACTCTCAAAGAATCCTGTACTGGATTATACCAAAACTGTCTTCCTGGCATTCACCTGAAGGGCCCTGTGATCATTCACATGGGCATATGGGAAAGAAAAAATTTACATACATCTTTCAGGAACCATGCCACCCTTTTTCATGTATAAAAAGTAGAGGTACCCAGAAGATCTCCTTCATTAAACAGAGGTGGTATATACAGTACATAGAAGACAACCAAGCCCAAAGGCACAAGGAACTTTTTAAATAGGTTACTCAAACTATCAAAAACCTACTCCTCCACGTCACTATCTCTCCCTCAAACAATACAGATGGACTCCTGGGGAATTCCACATCAGAAGGGGTAAACATCTGGTTTATACATGGCTCTCACTTAATGCCAGTAACATCCAGAAATAGACTGCTGAGGCATTACACCCCAACCCGGGTGTGGGGGTGGGAATGGGGGTAGGGTGGCAGACTAAGAAATGAAAGAAAATCTTCACAGTAGAAAGACCTACCATTACATCTACTTTGCCTAAAGAAGAAATTGCTTGAGTTAATAACCTATGCATATTAATATGCAATGGCTAATAGTTTCTGCAAGATGATTAGGAATGCTGAAGGAACAAGACTGGAAGACTTATTACAAAAACGTCTGAAGAAGAGGTATGTGAATGAGCCTCTATAAATTGGCACATAGGAAAATTTTAGGTCCCATGTGATACTCACCAGAGGGCCCCACAATGAAAAAAAATTCTTCATCAGGTAGACAACATAACCTATCCTGTGGATGTCAGTCAAACTCTTTCACCTGCCTCTACAATGCTTACTAAATAGGGTCATGAAGAAAGTTCCCAGTGTCATGGACAAAGCTCCTACCCTTGGGCATCTAAAGACCAAATGAAAATAATTCAAAGAAAATTCAGGTGTATATATACACATCTTTTTTATTATAGATATTTATATATATAAAAATATGTATATATCTTTTTATTATATCTTATATATAAAATATATTATATAAATATATAATATTTAATACATAATATATTTTATATTATATATAAAATTTAGAACTAAACTAATTGTTTATATATAAATATAATTATTTATATATATAAATTGTGTATAAATATAATTATACACAATTTATATATAAATACAATTTATATATAAAATTTAAAACTAAACTAATTATTTTACACAATGAACAAATGTATTACTTTAAAGACATAATTTAAATCAAGATGTTCTAGATCCAACCCTTATTCAAATATGATAATCCTTAGAAGACTATTATATCACAGAAAGTACTTACACTGTATACACAGGATTCAGATATCAGTACTCAATTAATTGTGTGAAATTTGGGAAACTATTTTTCCTTAGAATCAGACTCTAAATCTGTAAAATGAAAAGTTTAATTAAATTAGGATTTTTCAAACTATTTTTCTGCAGCAGAAATCTTAAAATGTAAAATGCAAAAGATTTTTTTGCAAAAATCAAAATACCTATAAAATGGATTCATTAGTGTTCTAACAATTTCATACATTTATAAAATTTTGAAGTCAGTAAATGAGACTAATAAAGTTATTCTATTAAAAACAAGCCGATAGCAGCCTTATCATATAATTTGACTTATTATGATGTTTGATAGCACAGTATCGGGAAAATCAGGCTCACAAATATGGAACAGTCTACCTGCTTCCAAAATCATACATGATCCAACACAGAGTCAAACAAAAATATGGGATAGCCACAACTTAAATAATCAATGAGTTAATCTAATGGCACTAACTAGTGCTCTTTTCTGCTTTTAAATTTAGTATATAATATTTGAATGTTTTATATAAAAATTATATTTTAAAAAATCAAATTTAAATCCAAAGTTCCCAAACACCTGAATTAAATCTAAATAAAAAATACACAGCATCACAGTTCCCCTGAGGTTTGAGGAAAATATAATCTACAAATACTATTAAAATTGATAGAGAAAACCCTTTCTATACTAAAATTCCCTGATTCTATAGAATATATATTATAGATAATGGCACTCATTGGAGTTTATCTTCTATAAATTAACATCAAACAAGTCCAGACCAGTAAAGTCCACTAGAAACACAATTGAGCCATATATATAAAGTAATCCAGTAACACCATTTAAAAGTAATTAAAGAGACAAATGAAATTAACTTTCATAATCTACTTTAACTCAATACATCCAAACTATTATCATTTCAACATGTAATCAACATAATATTATGATATTTGATTTCTTTTTAATACTAAGTCTTCAAACTATGGTGTACATTTTACACTTAGCATACATCTCAATTTGGACTAACCATATTTCAAATGCTCAATAGCTATATGTGGTTAGTGACTACAGTATTTCAATGTACAGGTCTAGAACTATGATACAATTTTAAGTTTTAAATATAAATTTTGTCAAAAATCTTAAAGCAGGTAAAATAATAGTTCCTTGTATTAATAACTCCTTATAATGCTTTAAATTTTTTAAAGGTTTTAGTACACTAGTTTAACTGATCTTCACAATAAGATCCTTCATTTTTCGGACCACAGAACTGAAGATCAACTGAAACCGAAATTGATCAAAATTGAAATCTAAAAAGAGATTTAGGTTTCTGATTAGGTTTTCTGATTATCAGTCCAGTTCACTATGTACATTATTTCATTTCCACTGCTTTACACTGTTGTTTCAACTAAAGTACATAATCATGGACAAGAGCCAAAATAAAAATGAAAGATGCAAATACAAAAGAAAAAAACCCACAAAAACAAACAAGCAAAGCACCATTCTGGGACAGAATCTGCTTAATAATTCTTCCTTTTTCAAAATTTAAGGTCATTCTGCTCAAACTTTGGCCAGTATTCTGGCAAGGTCACTATGTTCCAAAAGACTGCAAGTTGAAGCATCTGTGCTTTGGTTTTCCTCCTCCCATCTTTTCCACATATTCAGAATAGTCTCTAGATTCACCTTGTTAATGACACTGATGTGATGAAAATAAAACTGGATATACTATTTGAGTATGCATATTTCAGAATCAGGGCTTCATTTTTTTTAACATTCTTTACTGAAGTTCACAACTAGGAGCAATTTTTTCCCCAAGGGAACATCTGGGGGCATCTGGAAATACATTTAGTTGTCTTAACTGAGGTAGGAAGTGAGTGCTACCAATATCTAGTGGGTAGAAGCCAGGGATGCCGCTGAATATCCTATAATGCACAGCAGAGCACATTCTTCCACAAACAAAGAATTATTCAGCCCAATATGTCAACAGTTCTGAATCTGAGAAACTCTGCTTTAGTGAGAGCAAAAATAAATACCAGGTAGATAAAAGAACTAATTTATTAAAACTATCTAAAAGAATTAGAAGAAAATACAAGAATATTTTTCTAATCTTACTAAGGGAGACATCTTTTAGAAGACAAAACCCAGAGGTCATAAAATTTTTTTAATATATTAATTTTGTTAACTATAGGCAAAAAATGAAGCTATAAACAACATTAAAATCAATTTAATTTACTGCATGAAGGATTTTCTCAAGCCAAATATCTTCATCATCCATGACCCCACTATCATTCCACTCACAATCCACCAGGAAATTCTACTGGGTTCATCTCCAGAGCATATAAAAATCTGACACTTGCAATTCTGCTGCCACAATCCTGGCCTAAACTATCTTCCCCTGTCATCTGTAATACTACCTTCCTCACTAGTCTTTTAGCCTTAACTCCACCCCATCCCAACCTGTGAATATTCTTAGCATTGTAACCAGAGTGATCTTTTTAAAATATAAGATACAATATGCTAAGAGAGAAAAAAAAAATCAGTGGCTTCTAATTTCACTGAGTGAAAACTAAAGCCATCAAAAATGGCTTTATGAAGTCCGACAGAGCTAACCATCACCACCACCACCACCACCAAAACCTCCCGTGTTTTCTATTACCTTATTTCCTATTACACTCCCATCACTTATTACACTGAAGCTGCAATTCCTCCCTTGACATTGCGTGAATCTTTTCACCTCTGGGCTTTGGGCTTAACTGCTGTCAGAGCACAGCTTGCTTCGTCACTTCCTCCAAGTTTTGGTCAGAAGATCCCCTTCTAGGTGACGCATTCCCTGACTACTCTAATTAAAACTGTAACCTCCCACAAACTTAATAGTCCCTAGCCCCTCCCTACCCTCTCTACCAAAAGCAACAAAAAAGTTATATTAAACTAGTGGTTCTCAAACCTTTGTTCTCAGGACACATTTATAGTCCTATAAATCACTGAAGATCTCAAAGAGTTTTCATTTATGTAACTTATATCTACCAACGTTTATCATTTTAGAAATAAAAATAGAAATTTAAAATATATTTAATTCATTTAAAAATACTAAACCCACTAAAAACACAGATATTTTCATGAGAGATGGTTATATTTCTTAAAACCAAAAAATTAGTGAAAAGTGACATGGTTTTGTAATTTTTACAAATCTCTTCAATGTCTGCTTAATAGAAATTAAGCTGGATTCTCATATCTGCTTCTACATTCAATGTGTTGCAATAGGCTATTCTGGGTGAAGGATGTGAAGAAAAGCTAGCTATACACAGATACGTAGTTGGAGAAGGAAGGAGAACGTTAAAAGCTTTTTCATATAACTGAAGACGTTCTTTGATATGCACAACAACTCAATGAGTAGTAGTTTCTTCGAAGTTAGTTTACAATGTGGAATATAAAATCATAAGGGAACTTTTTGTATTATCTTAAAATCCACTGGCCTACCTATCTTGTACTTTGAAATTTTTAAATATGCATGATTTTATAAGATATCACATGGATTAATTTGAAAATATTGGTTAGATGTACAGATCTTCCATATGTCGACATATTACATTACCTAACATCCCCAAACAAAACTGATTGGTATCACCAGCAATCTCATCAGAAAAGTCATCAAATTTGGGGATACCATCAAACTCAAAATGGCAGACATAACTTTCCTGACTTTTCTAATTTTTGCTTTAAAACTTGGATTTTATCATTGACAGATACTGTCAGTTGTTTTCCTTAAAGTGAGGAGCTTGCTTCAATGTGCAAAGTACCCAAATCTGACTCAGTTTGCTACACTGGTTTGCAACTCAACTAGTTACATCAAATGCTTTTCCTAGAGTCGATCTGCACAGTTCAGTATCAACAGAAGTGATTTTATGAGTACCTCCCATTTCACCACATGGAATATTAAAAAGACATATTTTCAAGGATCATGCTTTAATATCATTCATTTTTACTGCTAGATCAAGGACATTTTAAAGTGAAACTGCCACCTTTTTTATTGCAAGTGTTTGGTAGTAAATAATACAATGACTACCAATAGTTTGGTGCCATTGCCTTGATTCACAGCGAGGTGCCAGCAGTTTTATCCACCATTGCTTTTGCACCATCAGTGTCAACATTAACACACTGAAAAAGGTAAACATTGACAAGATGCCAAGTTTATTCACGGGGAAATAATATTTTCAATAAATGGTCCTGAAAAAAAAATGGATACCCACATGCAAAAGAATGAAGTCAGACCCCGACCTCACACAATATACACAAGATGTTCTCAGACTTACGATGGTTCGACTTCAGATTTTTCAGCTTTACAAGGAATTTTGGGGGATATAACCCCATAGAAATCTAAAAGCTCCTCACAACTTAAAAAGGAGGTACAGTTTCTAGTGAATGTGTATTGCTTCCGCACTACTGTAAAATTGAAAATCCTAAGTTGAATCATGGTAAGTCAGGGACCATCTCTTTTGTTGCCAGCATTAAATGCATCTTCAGCTTACAGTATTTTCAATTTACAATGAGTTTATCAAGATTTAATCTCATTGTAAGTTGAGAAGCATCTGCACAAAAAGCAACTGAAAATGGATAAAAAACCTATGGGTAAGAACTAAAGCTGTCAATTCCTTAAAAATTTTGAAATAAATCTTCATGACTACTATGGTTTAAATGTTTGTCCCCTCCAAAACTCACATTGCAACTTAATCATTGAGATGTGGGACATTTAATAGGGGTGAATAGGTCAGGAGGGTACTGTCCTTATGAATTAATTAATCCATTCATGGGTTATCGGGTTATCAGGGAGTAGGATTGGTGGTTTTATAAGAAGAGGAAGGACTTGAACTAGCATGCTCACCCCCTGTCCACGTGATGCCCTGTACCACCTCAGGACCTGCAGAGTCCCCACTAGCAAGGTGGCTCTCACCAGAGGTGGCCCCTTGACCCTGGACTTCTCAGTCTCCATAACTGTAAGAAATAAATTCCTTTTCTTTATATATTACCCAGTTTCAGGTATTGCTATAAGGAACAGAAAACATATCAAGATGTGTTAGGCAATGGCTTCTTAAATATGGTTCCAAAAGCACAAGTAACAAAAGATAAAAAAAACAGATCAATTGGACCATCAAAGTTTAAAAAAAACTTGTACTCCAAAGGACCCATCAGAAAAGTGAAAAGTCAACCCTGAAAATGGCAGAAAATATCTGCAAATCACCTATCTGATAAGGGGCTTAATGCACAATATATGTAAAGATCCCAAACTTAACAATGGAAAGACAATGCAATCTAAAAACAGGCAATGGATTTGACTACATATTTCTTCAGAAAAGATACATAAAAGGCCAATAAGCATATAAAAAGATAGTCAACATCATTAGTCACTAGGAAAACAAACTGCAATGAAATGCCACTTCAGACACACTAGGATGACTGTATTTTAAAAACCAAACAATTACAAGCGTTAGCAAGAATGTAGACAAATTAGAACCCTCCTGCAATCTGCACCTGTAAAACGGTACAGCCATTTTCAAAAAGTTTGGTGATTCCTCAGAAAGTTAAAACAGCAATTCCATTACTAGATATAGACCAAAGAAAACTGAAAACACATCCACACAAAAATTTGGACAGGACCATTCTTAGTAGCATTATTCCTAACAACTAAAAGTGAAAACTACCCAAATTTCATCAACTGTTGAAAGAGAAACACAATGCCATAAATACAAAAATTAGTGGGGCATGGTAACGTGCACCTCTGGTCCCAGCTACTTAGGAGGCTAAGGTGGGAGGATGGCTCGACCCTGGGGAACAGAGATTGCAGTGAGCCAAGATCCTGCCACTGCACTCCAGCCTGGTAGACAGAGCAAGACTCTGTCAAAAAAAAAATAAATAACAATAACATTTTTTAAAGAAAACACTTGTTTTCCCATGGATTATATTAAGTGACAGTGATTTTTCCTTCTGATTTTTCCACTTCGAATTTCTCTATAAATGGCCATACATTTCTTCTCTGACAGTGAAGAAAAAAAAAAAAAGAAACAAAATTCTTTTCAAAATGCCATAAAGTTAGAAGAAAATTTAGAAAAACATTTGAAATATTTTAGGATAAGGTGGACAATCTTAAGAAAGATAGAAACCCAAAAACCATAAAAGGAATGAAGAACACAGTTAAGTACATATATGCTAAAATTGCTATACAGAAAAGAATACAGGCCGGGCATGGTGGCTCATGCCTGTAATCCCAGCAATTTGGGAGGCTGAGGTGGGTGGATTGCGAGGTCAGGAGATCGAGACCATCCTGGCTAACACGGTGAAACCCTGTCTCTACTAAAAATACAAAAAATTAGCCAGGCGTGGTGGCGGGCGCCTGTAGTACCAGCTACTCGGGAGGCTGAGGCAGGAGAATGGCGTGAACCCGGGAGGCAGAGTTTGCAGTGAGCTGAGATCACGCCACTGCACTCCAGCCTGGGCGACAGAGTGAGACTCCATCTCAAAAAAAAAAAAAATTATATGAATAGACAAATGACAGATTTAAAAAAAAAACCATAACATGGAATATAGATAAAAAGCATCCTTAACATAAAAATATGTTCCATATCACTAGTATGGGGGAAAGAAGAATGAAAATTCCTCTTCCATGTACTGTATTAGGAAAAACATAAATGAATGATTATATCCAGAACAAACAAATACGTGGAGAATGAAAGTTCATAGGTTCCAGGTAAGAGAATAAATTCTTATAATATTTTTGTCATGTAAACTTATAGTACCATTAATCTTGAAGTCCTCACATCTTTTGATACCAAGATTACTCTTGGTAATCTATCCTTATGAATATAAGAATACATACTGAAAGATGTTTGTTGAAACACTTACAAAATTAAAACTATAAAACACTGCTAAGAGAAATTAAAGATGATGTAAATTAATTTTAAGGTATCAATTCTCCCCAAAGTCACCTACAGAACTGACATAATCCCAATCAAAATCCTGGGATGCATTTTGGTAGAAATTCAAACGCGATTCTAAACCTTTTATGGAAATGCAAAGGAACAGAACGGTCTAAATAGGTTATAAAAAAATAAACTGAAAAAGATTAAAATTTGAGAACTTATGCTTACCTGAGTTTAAGACTAATTATAAAGTTACAGCACTCAAGACACTGTGGTACTGGTGTAGTACTGGTGTGGAAATATAATTCACTGGAACAGATCAGAATGCAGAAATAAGACCTAGATAAAGTCAATAAAAGATAAAATGATTTTCAACCAAGGTGCCAGCAATTCGACAAATGATGCTGTAACAGCTGGATAGCCATACGCTTAAAAGAGGGAAAAAAACTGACCATATGCAAAAATTTATTCTAAATGGAATATAAACCCACATATAAGAACTAAATGTATAAAACTTCTCAGAAAAAAACAGAAAATCATAGGTACCTTGACGTGGCAAAGACATCTTAAATAGGACACAAAAAATTCAAACTGCTAAAGAGGGACAAAATCAATACATCAAAGTTTATCAAAATTAAAATATTTTGCTCCTCCAAAGACACAATAAAAAGACTAAAGGCAAGCCTGAGAGAGTGAGAAAATACTTACAAAACATATAGCCTAGAACCTGTCTCTAAAATATATAAAGAACTTTTACAACTCAATAATAAAAAAAAAATCCAATTTAAAAATAGGTAAAAGATTTAGCAGCCACTTTACCAAAGAAGATTTATTGATGGAAAATTCGCATTTGAAAAAGATGCTTAATATCATTGTTATCAAGAAAATGCAAATTAAATCGCACTAAGATAATACTTCACATCCACTAGAATGGCTGAAATTAAAGGGCAACCGTACCAAACACTGGTGAGGGTATAGAATAACTGCAAAGGTCACAGACTTCAGAAAGAACTGTAAAACGATAGAAACACTTGGAGAACAGTTTGGAAGCTTCTTTAAAAGTTAAATATATACCATATGCCTTCCACATGACCCAGTCATTCCACTTCCGAGTATTTACTCAAGATAAATGAAAGTATATGTCCATACAAAAACTTGTAGGAGACTGTTCACAGCAAGTTTACTTGTAAGAGCCAAAAACAAAACAACCCAAATGTTTGTCAACACAATAAACAATGGAACAATACAATAGTCGTAACGCATAAAATGGAAACTATCCAACAATAAAAAGGAATGCTGTAACCCCAGCACTTTGGGAGGCCAAGGCAGGCGGATCACCTGAGGTCGGGAGTTCAAGATCAGCCTGACCAACACAGAGAAACCCCGTCTCTACTAAAAATACAAAATTAGCCGGACGTGGTGACGCATGCCTGTAATGCCAGCTACTCGGGAGCCTGAGGAAGGAGAATCGCTTGAACCCGGGAGGCAGAGATTGCGGCGAGACGAGGTCCCACTATTGCACTACAGCCTGGGCAACAAGAGGGAAACTCCGTCTCAAAGAAAAAAAAAAAAGAATGAAACACTGATACTCATAAAAACATGGATGATTCTCAAAGTAATTATGCTGAAACACAAAGAGGCAGAATACACATTTTATGAGTCCATTTGTATAACATCCTAGAAAATGCCATTTAATCTATAGTAACAGAAAGATCAGTGATTGACTTGGATAAGGGGAGCGCAGGTTCGAGTGGGACCAAAGGAAACCTTTGAAGGTGATGGATATGCTTACGATGTCGTTTATAGTGGTTTCATAGAGTATACATGTGTCAAATGTCAAATTGTACACTTCAAATATGTGTAGTTTGTTATATCTCAGATATACTTCACTAAAGCTGTAAGACACACAGACACACACACACACACATACACACACACATGCACAACCTGAATGTTCATTAATGGAGGAACAGAATAATTCACAGAGGACTTATTTTAATATTTGTAATTACTAATAAAAAATTTCTATTGGCTCTGATGAATAGGTCTTAAGAATCCTGTACAATTTGGGAGGAGGTCAGAGTAATATAAAAAAGGTACTAAAATGATATCTTACGTGTATACATGAATATGTGTTCATATACAAATAGAGGAAAGTGTGACGGGTATGTATCAAACAAATAAATTAGGAGATGGAACTGGAAAAAGAGTTCCAGAGGGTAAAAGGTAATTCACTTTACCCTCTGCTTTAGCTGACATGCTGTAAAGAGCTTATACTTCTTGTTAATTTCAAAAGGTTAGAAAAATTGAATGTATACCAAAGTGGTACAACAATTAAGTGACTCATCAAAAATAAATTTCTTCGGAAAAACACCTCCACACCCTAACTCTCTTTATGTCTTTTGGTCTACACTAACTCACTCTCTCTCTCACGCACACACACACACGCAACAACTCACACACAACTTGGCATTAGGATCTCTCACACTCACACACACACACACACACACCCTGGCATTCGGATCTCTTCCTAACACAACCCTAGCATTATATCTCGCACACTCACACACACCCTAGCTTAGAATCTAATTCAAACACACACCATGGCATTACAATCTCTTTCTCACACATACCCTGGCATTAGGATCGCTCTCTCTCACACACAGACGCTAGAACTAGGATTTCTCTCACACACAACCTGGCATTGGGATCTCTCCCTCACACACACATCCTAAAATTAAGATTTCTCTCACATTCACACACACCCTGACATTAGGATTTCTCTCTCACACACACACCCTGACATTAGGATTTCTCTAACACACACCCTGGCATTAGGGTCTCACACTCACACACCCTGACATTAGGGTCTCTCTCACACTCACACACCCTGACATTAGGGTCTCTCTCACACACACACCCTGACATTAGGATTTCTCTCACACTCACACACAATATTAGGATCTCTCAGTCATGCTCACACACCCTGGCATTAGGGTCTCTCTCACACACAACCTGACAGGGTCTCTCTCACACTCACACACCCTGACATTAGGGTTTCTCACATACACACACACTCTGGCATTAGGATCACTCTGTCACACACACACACACACACACACCCTGGCATTAGGATCACTCTGTCACACACACACATACCCTGGCATTAGGATCACCCTGTCACACACACACACACGCACACACACCCTGGCATTAGGATCACTCTGTCACACACACACACACGCACCCTGGCATTAGGATCACTCTGTCACACATACACACACCCTGGCATTAGGATCACTCTGTCACACACACACACCCTGACATTAGGGTTTCTCTCACACACACACACCCTGGCATTAGGATCACTCTGTCACACACACACAACCTGACATTAGGGTTTCTCTCACACACACACACCCTGGCATTAGGATCACTCTGTCACACACACACACACACACACCCTGGCATTAGGATCACTCTGTCACACACACACACCCTGACATTAGGGTTTCTCTCACACTCACACACCCTGGCATTAGGATCACTGTGTCATACACACCCTGGCATTAGGGTCTCTCTCACACTCACACACAGCCTGGCATTAGGATCAGCCATCATTGACCCCATGTGCTGGGTGCTCCCATCTCTGATAACTGCATTTTTCGAGGAAGGGCTGCTGCTCCCGGGTGGGAGGGCTGAATCTGAGCCGCCGCCGCCATTAGAGGTAGGGAGAACAGAAGCAGCTGAAGATCCCACAACAGACTTCAGATCGCAGCCCGCCCCTGGGAGGCCAAAGCCCCTGTAGGTCGGAGGAGAAAAGTGGGGAAGTACCATGGAAACCAATAGTACCTAGAGCAGGCTAACCATACATAAACGGAGCTGGGGTTTACCAAGAATCTCTGCTGCGGGTCAGGCCGCTCTTCCCAGAGCTGGAAAAATACCGCTAGGGCCCAAGATGGCGGGAGACTCGGGCCCTGTTCCCACCCCCTCGTAATCCCGCAGGGGCCCCAGGGAGCATGTGCGGGCTTGAAGGCCGAATGCGGCGGGGGAGGCCTGCAGCTGCGCAAAGCGTCCCGCCTGGCGCTGTCCCTGGCTTCCTGAGGGCGGAAGCTGTGTGCGGCCTGGTAAGGGTGGTGCCCACTGGGAGTTCTTGAAGCTGGCATTAGGCTCCAGGTGGGCAGCCTCACAGCCTTGTCTCTCAGGGCCAGGCCATGGAGAGACTCTGGACGGGCTAATGTGGTGGAGAGGATGTAGCTTGTCATATGGGTGTGACACATTGGGGTGGTATCACCCCACTTCCTGGCTGTGCAAGGGTTGGAGTTCATGCAGACAGATCTATCTTGCAACTACCAGGATAGAAACTCAGGAGTCCCCAGTGAATTAGTGAAAGAAATGTCTATTTATTGAGCACCAGTTAATCAGATATTTAAGTTATTGCATTTAATTCTATTTCTCTATTTTGGAGAATCTTGAACTGGGTCCGTGAATTAGATGGTATTAATGTATACAATGTTAATTTCCTGATCTCAGTGGGTATGTTAGGGTTATGTAGGGAAAAGTCCTTGTTTATGGGAAATAGACAAAGTAGCGGGGGTTATTGGGCATAATGCCAGCAGTTTACTTTCAAATGGGGAGGGGACATGTTCTTTCTACTCTTCTTGCAACTGTTCTGTAAATTTGTAATTATTTTAAAAGAAACACTTTATTTGAAAAATTACTAGTCTCATAAAATGAGCCACACAACTCTATTTTTTTGTGTTCTGCAGCAATTAAATGACATTATATAACAAGGACAGAAAGTAACTGTCCTTTGAAAAATTAGAAACTCAACTATATTAAGTCATCTGGGTAGGTATTTTAGGTGAGGCAAAATCTTGCCTTGCACATCAGTTGTTTCATGCTCACAGATGGAGTCCAGTTTTCTTTTTCTTTTGACTATTTCCTCCTTTATTGTGTATGTTAATTATTCATATCTTTTTCTCTTGACAAGTCTTATCATCTGTATTGTTTTTTCTTGTAATTATTCTCCATTTTATTTTTTCTTTATCTGTATTCTTTCCTTCTAGTTTTTCTGACTTTATTACTTCATTTTCTTCAGCTTAATGTTTACTGTCTCTATTTTTAACCTTTCTCATTTTCTGAAAAATATATTTAAGCTATGAATTTCCCTTCAAGTACTACTTTAGTTGTATCCCTTAAGTTTTTAATGGTATAATTTCTTTATCTTTCAGTTTAAAATTGTCCTAATTCCTATTGAGATTTCTTTTGCCATCTGGGTAAAAGATAATTTTTCTTAATTTCCAAATATGTGGAAATGTGTTATTAGCTTTTTGATGCTCATTTGTAGCTTACTTGCATTAATTGCATTGTAGCCAGAAAATGTGGTCTGTAATGATACCAGTTACTTAAAATTTCTTGATACTTGCTTCTTCCCTAGTACCTAGTCATTTTTAAAATTTATGTCCAAAAAAAAAGAGAAAAAAATAAAATTAAAAAAATAATAAAATTTATGTCCATTAGATCAAGTTTGTTAATTGTGTTCAAGTGTTCTATATCGTTACTGATGTGCTTGTCAGCTTTATCAGTTACAGAAAGTGATTTTTATCAGCTTATTGTAAGTCTGCCTATTTGTCTTTTCTATACTTTGAATATATTTTTTAAAGTACATAAAGATTTAAAATTTATTTCTGATGAATTGACCGTTTTATCAATTTGTAATAACTTTCTCCATGTCAAGAGATTTTTTGCCTTAAGGTATTTTACCTGACATTTATTTAACATGGCTAAATACATTCATTGAGTTGGTATTTGCCATGGTGTATCTTTTTATATCCTTTTATTTACTAACCTTCTTTCTTGTCCTTATGATTTAGTGTGGCTCTTTATAAAGAACATGTAGCTCAATGTTGTTTGTTTACTCTTTGTTTAGTCAGTCTTAGAAGCTTGCATTTACCTTTGGTCCATTGACATTGATTATGATTTCTGATATTTTGTGATTTCTACCATTTTATTTTATGCATTGTCTTCCTACTTTTTCTAGGTTTCTCCAGGAATGCTTTCTCTTGAACTGATTTAATTTTATTCTTTACATACATTTCTCCTTCCTACTCCCTACCCCCACCTGCCATTTTCTGCTTTACCACTTGGGTAATTCTTTCTGGTACTATGTACTGGTACTATCTACTATCTTCGGGTACTATCTTTTCTGGTACTATCTAATTGTTGGTGGCCACTCAACAATTTTTAACACTTACTTAATGGAGCAAATTCTAAAGTTAACTTTTTACCCTCTTTTTAAACAATACAAGGGACCTTGGGACACTTTAACACACACACACACACACCTTTCTCTTTTTTGTATTTTTTATTGATATATCATTGTTGTACATATTTTTGGAATACATACGATATTTTGATATATGTATGCAATGTGTAACAATTCTCTCAGGTTAATTGAGATATCCATCAGATCTATTTTTGTTTTTTTGAGACACTTTCATACTGTTTACCATGGTGGCTGTTCTAATTTATATTCCCACCAAGAGTGTACTGATGTTCCCTTTCTTTGCATCCTCAACAGGATTTGTTATTTTTTGTCTTTTGGATAATAGTCATTCTAGTTGGGGTGAGATGATATCTCATGGCTGTTTTGATTGCATTTCCCTGATGATTAGTGATGTTGAACATTTTTTTTCATATACCTGTTGACCATTTGTATGTCTTCTTTTGAAAAATGTCTATGCAGGTCTTTTGCCCATCCTTTAATTGGATTATTTGGGGTTTTTTTTTTTGGCATTTCGTTATTTAGTTCCTGATAGATTCTGGTTGTTAATCCCTTGTGGGAGGGATGATTTGCAGATATTTCCTCCTAGATAAATTCCACACTTAGAGCTATCCCATTTTTGACAAAGTCACCAAGAACATACACTGGGAAAGGACACTCTCTTTAATAAATGGTGCTGGGAGAACTAGATCTCCATATGCAAAAGAATGAAACTAGATCCCCATCTTTCACCATACACAAAAATCAACTCAAAATGGATTAAAGACTTAAATTTAAGACTGGAAACTATGGAACTACTAGAATAAAATGTTGAGGAAATGCTACAGGACACTGATCTGGGCAAAGATTTTTTGGGTAAGACCTCAAAAACACAGCAAAATAGGCAAATTGGATTACAAATTGGATTACATCAAGCTAAAAGCTAAAAAGCTTCTTCACCAAAAAGGAAACCATTAACAAAGTGAAAAGACAAGCTACACATACTGCTTTCTAACTTACATGCTTTTTAACTTGAAATCTGCTGGAAGAAGTCTCCATGAACATATAGGTCTTACATTACCTATACATCAGTTAACTTATACTCATCCTTCAGTTCTCAGCTTACAGGCTGCTTCCTCTGAGAAGACTTCTAAGTCTGGGTGAGTAGTCATGACTGGAATACTGTACTATATACTTAGAAATGCCCAAAAGCTTCCCAAGGGGGTATACAGGCATAACAGTCCCAAAGGAATCAATTTTCAGACCCTCATCTTTTAAATGTGTTTTTTTCTGAGGCTGAGCTGCCTAAGAACCAAACCACCTGCGAGTCAGAATCAGCTAGTTGGTTCCCCTTTTCTCCTTCCCTTTCACTGTTGCCCAGTTTCCAATTTATAAATAAAGATGTCTCCTAGCCAGGTGCGGTAGCTTACGCCTGTAATCCCAGCACTTTGGGAGGCCAAGGTGGGCGGATCACCTGAGGTCAGGAGTTCAAGACCAGCCTCGCTAAAGTGGTGAAACCCTGTCTCTACCAAAAATACAAAAATTAGCTGGGTGTGATGGCACACGCTTGTAATCCCAGCTACTCAGGAGGGTGAGGCAGAAGAATCGCTTGAACCCAGGAGGTGGAGTTTGTAGTGAGCCGAGATCACGCCATTGCACTCCAGCCTGGGTGACAGAGCGAGATTCCATCTCAAAAAAAAAAAAAAAAGGTCTTCATCGCCTATATTTATTACTGTCTGTTACCCTGAAGTGTAAATTCCCCTGAAACACTGAACAAATAAGCAGCTGTTTAAAATAGTAGCATTGTGAAGCCTGCCTTTGTAGGGCCATTGTGTCTTTTTCCATATTATTCAAATTTCTGTGAGACACACACACAAAAACAACAACAACAACAACAACAAACAAAAACACTTCATTGACCTGTACACTGAAGATGAGTGCACTTTATATATATATATGTTATACCTCATTGAAAAAAGTTTTGAAAAAGTATCTTAAAATTAACAGTATGTTTTCTGAGCATATGTGTTAAATAAGGCATATCTAGGTGAAATAATAACACATATAATTTTTTTAAGTCCTTTTGTTAAGCTTCCCAGGAATTAAGATTGTAGACCATTCTAATGGCTAGGTAGAAAATCATTTTTCAAGTCAGGTAGTCTCTAATTTTAGTACTTTATTTTTTAAAAAAAGATTGAAGAATCTAGGCAAGTACCCAATTATCAGTAAATTAATTATCAATCATTACAGGTATGAGAGCATTAGGGGTATGAGAGAAAAATATTTAAGAACCACTAAGTTATACATTCTCATGGTAACCTGAACTTTTTCCCTTACTTATCATAATCTATAAATACATGCCTATTGATATGATTATTTGATGTGTGTTTCTCCAACATCAAGTCTCATGGAAATAATACTAAGCATATTGTTTATCCACAGTGAATCTAAGTCAAAGATTCAGTAAGCAAGTGGATTACTGTGCAAGTGCTATTTGCAGTCCTGGGAGTAGATGAGATCATGCAGAAACAGATAAACAGAGAAGAGGATGGAACTCTGGAAAACAGCAGAAGATAACTCCTTTTAGTATAAAAACCGTCATTTGTCTTCGCAACTTTTCCCTTTTCCTTTCCTGCTTTGTCCCTAGAGAGCACAGTGTTTTGCACACAGAAACAATTTCAATGTTAAAATAAACTTTCTTCCCTAAACATAGTCTAAGACACAGAATACATAATTACTCTTAGGAGTATTCTTTTCAGGGCAATAGTTACCTTAGAAGACTGCACCTTGTTGTCTTCACTGTCTTGTAGAAGAAACAGATGTGAAATACTCAAGATATAGATAGTCCCATAGCCCCTTCAAGGAAGTTGCAAGTGATCTTTCCTCAGAGCCTGACATCGAAAAGTTAATTTTTTTTGTTATCACTCAGTTTAATAAATCATCTCTGAGTGCATCACGCACTATCATGTCACATGTTCTAGTCAGTGGTAAGAATGTTTTTCTTCTTGCTCCCATATCCTCTAATATGCTAAGATCAAGTCCATTTATTCTGTGTTTCTTCCACTCACTTTCTAAAACTTTAGCTCTAAATAAATTAACATTGATGACTTGCTTAGATAGTCCCTATCTGGTTGGACTTGGTTTTCTATCTTGTCAGTTTTTTATGTGGCCACCGGGAGGCAGCATGAACTTGCCTACTGATAATCTCTCTTGATGCCTGTACATCTGCAGTCATCCTGTCACTTTTTAAAGAAAGATGTCTTTTCTATTTAAGATGTAATTAAATCTCACCTTTTTTTAAAATAATACTTGGTGATAATGGGACATGGGGAAACAGAGATCATCATATGCTTGTGTTAGAATGTTAATTGGAGCAATTTGAAAATTACTTATCTGAAACCTTAAAATTGTTTATGTCCTTTGCTCTGGCATTCCCCTT
This sequence comes from Homo sapiens, assembly GCF_000001405.40. Taxonomy (NCBI): domain Eukaryota; kingdom Metazoa; phylum Chordata; class Mammalia; order Primates; family Hominidae; genus Homo; species Homo sapiens. The sequence continues at coordinate 168,903 of NW_025791767.1, read as the reverse complement.
CCCCACACTCACTCTCCCATTCCCAGCAATTTCTCTTTATGGAATTATTGCCATCGTGAGCAAAGACTTAGCTACAGGGACATTCAGTACAGCATGCTCATACAAACATCAACTAGAAACAATATAAATGTCCAACAAGAACACATTCTGGTCATATAATAGATAGCTCTGAGGCTGATAAAAATGATATTATTGAAATTTTTCTGAAAATGTGGTATACATATCACCAGATCTGGTCCACAAGACCATTGTAAGTGGGACATGAAAAGGAAGCATGCTTCCTTTTCACTGTATCTCTTATCTGCTCCCAGAAACAGTGTCCTGGCCTTGTGGCCTTCCTCCTAGACAGGCAGAAGGCTATGGCTTCCCATACACACCCAGGCTCTTCTCTTCCCCAACCTCCTCTAGGACTTCCTTATCCTATTCCCTCTCCAAGGCCCAGGTTTCATCCCACTCCCTTTATTTATTTATTTATTTATTTATTTATTTATTTATGTTTTAATAAAGAAAGCTGTAAAAGAATGTCATCTCCATCTGAAGACAACAACAAATCCAAATAGTCATTTATTTATTTGTTAGATTTCTCAGCAATATTTTGGAGATTTTATTATAAAGGTTTTGCACATTTTGATAAGCTTTTTCTTTTCTCAGACAGGGGCTCACTCTGTCAGCTGGAGTGCAGTGGTGTGTGATCATGGCTCACTGTAGCTTTGACCTCCTGGGCTCAAGTGATCCTCCCACCTCGGGCTCAAGTGATCCTCCCACCTCAGCCTCCCAAGTAGCAAGGACTACAGTCACATGCCACCACACCTGGTTGATTTTTAATATTTTTTTAGAGGTGGGATCTAGCTATGTTGCCCAGGCTGGTTTCAAACTCCTGGGCTCAAGAGATCCTCCTGCCTCCACCTCCCAAAGCGCAGGGATTACAGGGATGAGCCACTGTGCCTAACCTCCAATCCCTTTCCTTCCCACACAGCTCTTTCTGGTTCCCCAGCACAGCCCTCCAGGTGGTCGAGCAGCCAGCCAGCTCCACCCTCATTGCCTTCAAGCTCCTTTTCTTAATATTTCCTGAAACCCCCAGCTCTGCCCCTTCCCCTAAGCTCCTGTCTACCTTCTTGTCCTATGATGTGCTTGCCATATCTCTTAGAGAAAACCTGTCCTGATTGCTTTTTTTTCTTTTTTTTTTTTTGAGACAGAGTTTTGCTCTTTGTTGCCCAGGCTGGACTGCAGTGTAGCGATCTAGGCTGACTACAACCTCCGCCTCCCGGGTCCAAGAGACTCTCGTGTTTCAGCCTTCTCAATAGCTGGTATTACAGGTGCCTGCCACCACACCTGGCTAATTTTTGTATTTTTAGTAGAGACAAGGTTTCACCATATTGGTCAGGCTGGTCTCAAACTCCTGATTTCAGGTGATCCTCCTGCCTCAGCCTCCCAAAGTGTTGGGATTACAGGCGGGAGCCACCTCGCCGGCCCCTCCTCACTCCTCTCCTCCAGCCTCCCCTTTGTCCCTGGAAGTCCCCAGTTTCTTCTGCATGCCATTGCTCCACCCTTAGCTTCAGCACTCCCTTCCCCAAGCCTACAAAATAGACTTCTTTTATTTATTCTGGCCCTTTTATTTTCTACTCCTATCTGTTTCTTCCTTATAGCCCTCCTCCTCACTTCTAACCAAAGCTTCTTTGCCATTTAATATGTTTTGCAAGTAGAGCTTCCCCAAATATCTTGTTTGATTTAGGAAACAATCATAAATGTCATCTAGATATATTCCCAACTCAGTAGCGAGGATAAAGTGTTCACCTTTTTCTAACAATAGTCACAAATATGTGGCAGTCAATTTCTTTCTGTAAATGTATAGGAGCTAGTTAAATTCCTAGTTCAGAACGTATAAAATTGGTGAATTTCCCAAGGAGAAATTAAAAAGCAGTTAATATTTCCTATGAATTCTATGATTTAGAGAGTAGTTGGGAAACGAGAAATAAGACAAAATACAAGTAAATGTTTTTCTAAGTTCATTTAAATCAGATCCTAAATCTCACTTGAAATTCATTGTGGTCTTTGTGGAGAAGAATTCTTTTGGAAATTGGAAATTATTGGTTCATGGTTCATGTGTACTAGAGCAATATAATGTCTCTTATCAAGAATTGCCTTTAGTATGGAACATCATTTATTAATGTCATCCAGTCATGGGTCACATTATTAATGATGAAACAGAAAAGCAAGTCCCTTACATCCTATTCTCAAAGTCTTCTAAAAGTATCAATGTAAATTGAATAAAATCTACATTTTATGTATTTGAAATATAACAATGAGTAGCCAAAAAGATATACATAAGCATCTGACAACAGTGTGAAAAAAAAAGTTTTTAGTAATATGAATACACATCAACTTTGGCCACGTATCATTACCTTAAATCTCACAAGAAGAATTTTGAATATTTTTATCTACCATTATCAAAGATTGACTAGGTCTATATACCTTAACATTCTATATTTCTGAACCTTACTTCTTTAAAAACCAAACTTTTATTTTAAGCATTTCAGCTAGAATTTCTGTGAAACTGATTATATTTTATACACATCCTGTCTTCTTAAATGCTCACACCTGTAATCCCAGCATTTTGGGAGGCCGAGACGGGCAGATCACGAGGTCAAGAGATCAAGACCATCCTGGCCAACATGGTGAAACCCCGTCTGTACTAAAAGTACAAAAATTAGCTTGGCATGGTGGTGCATGCCTGTAGTCCCAGCTACTCGGGAGGCTGAGGCAGGAGAATAACTTGAACCCGGGAGGCGGAGGTTGCAGTGAGCTGAGATCGCTCCACTGCACTCCAGCCTGGGCAACAGAGCAAGACTCCGTCTCAAAAAAAAAAATGTTTTAACTTTTACTGGATAGTTCAAGGTCTTCATTGTGAGTTTCCATTATGGTACAATGGAGGCCAAGGAAGGAACTGTTAACCCCATGCTCAGTGGCCTGAGGAAGTAACAAATGTTCTTATGTCTGTTTTTTATTGTTTTGTTATCATAACAGTAAAAAACACCATCTGCATCTAACTGCTTTCTTTACTATTGAGAAACACTACTCCATGGGCCTCTTAAATGCCTAGATGTCTTGGTGGGTTATGCCAAGGATGGAAGGCCCTGACCACTCTTTATCTAGAACGTTTCTCATGGCTATTTCCAGTGAGCAATGTTGAGAGATGCTGTAAGCTCTCCTTTCAGACCACAGCTGCTGTCAGTGGTACATTTTCTAGGTTCCACATTCGTCTCCCATGACACAACCCATGTTTGTGCAAGCATAGGTCTAGGACCACCTAAGCTGCCCTGCAGAACTGGTGCTCCAGAAACCAATGCAACCAAGTTTGCACTCCGGCTACTGCTTTTGCTGTGAGTAATCGTTTTTGACTCTAACTCAGGAGGTCTTCTATCTTCTGTCAGCATCCCTGACATTGTGGCAAGCTGACTTGTTAGCTTGCAGCAGAGTAAAATCTCAGACCCCTCACAGTTCTTGTAAGCTACCTTTCAATTCGTTGTTTAATTTATACTTTTAACACACATATATTAATCATGTATGCCTCTAGAAATACGTAAGATCCAAGGGGAATATAAAGTGGACAATAGTTGGAACCTCCCTTAAGAAGTTCTCCCTGGTGAGGAATGCAGACGCTCAAACAGATTTTGTAACAAAACATGATTGATATTAAAGGCACAGAGATGGGAACCAGAAGGTTAGGGATAGCTTTCTGGAGGAGGAAACAATGAATTAAGCCTTTAAGGATGAGGACTTGACCAGGCAGAGACAAAGGACATAGAGGAATGTGAAAATGATATAAATCAAGGAGAAATACTATATAAATTTAGCATGGGGTTAACTATATAGTGTACCCACTAATTTTGAGATGCCTCCTGATATCAGAAGTGTTAAAATGTGAAGGAAAAGAGTCTTTTAGAATTAAGCAATTGGCATAATTTTAAATAATTGCTGGTGACACATCTGTGAAATAACATATAATTGTGTATTCCTCAGAAAACTGGAACACTATTTAAACAAATTGAATCATTATCTAGAACTAAAACTCTTGGTGATGTCAACATACTTTAGAGGAACAGGAGCACAGATAAGCATGAAGTTAAAGTCTCTTACAAGAATTATCTTATTTGATGTGATGAAGCTATGTATTATTAACTCTGGGCATTATAAAAAAAGACAAGTATAATTAAGTTTATTTAAAATGTAAAGTTACAAACCCTGTAGGCAAAAAAAAATTAAAATTCAGCTATATGTGACTTGCAAAATATACACTGAGAAAGCACCATATGCAAAGATTGAAAATGAAGGGATAAAAAGTATATACCATATGTATCCATTATCTATTACCACAATAATCCTGTATAACAAACAACCACATAAAAAGTAAGCATTTATGTGATTCCCAAATCTATAGGTTAGATGGGGTCATCTGATGGGTTATCAATGGATTAGCTTTGCTCTCTCATGTATTTGGGGGTGTGGCTAGCTGGTTCAGCTCTTCCTCACATTTCTCTCATCATACAGCAGGCTAGCGTGGGCTTGTACATATGGCAGTAGCCAGGTTCCAAGAGACAGCAGGAGTAAGTACACAGTCCTTTTGAGGGACAGGCTCAGAACTGGCACATCATCATTCCAGAAAATTCTATTCTATCACAAGACCAGCCCAGATTCAAGGAACAGGGAAACAAACTCCTATACTTAATGGTAAAAATCTGCAGGTGATTTGCAAAATGTGTAGATACAGGGAAGAATAAAGAATTAGAGATGTTTTTAAAGTTAATCTTCTACACCATGCAAATTCTAATGGAGGTAAAGTGGGTTTAGCCATGTTAATATCAGCCGGAAAAAAAAAAAAAAACAGATGATAATGGAACAGTCCTTTCTCTGACCACCATATTAAAACCACAACCTGTCTTCTGCTCCTGCAGTTCCCAAGCACCCTTCATCTGTTTTGCATTTTCTTTGTTCCATAGCACCTATAATATTATAATTTACTTATTGTGTTTATTTTTTTAGTATGTGTTTTGCCTGGAAAAATATAAGCTCCCCTAGGGGAGGATCTTTGGCTTTTTTGTTCACTAGTATTTCCTATCTACCTGGGGCAGTGCCTTATACGTGGTAGTTATCCTGAAAATATTTGTTGAATAAATTAATACACCAAGAAGATATCAAAATTATTAATATATAATTTTGGTGGCTTATTAGATTATTGCTTCCAATTCTTTACTCTCCCCATGTAAGAGAATTATATATTCATCCCCTTTACCATATAACTTTGCAGTGCCACCCTTGGGACAGGGTTAATTTGCCAGCCCTAATGATGTTGAGCTTAACCATGTGATTTATCTCAGCCAATGGAGTGTAAACAGAAGTAACATATACCAGAAGCTTTAAACATGCTTTTGTGGTGTGGCTTCCTCTCTAATAAATTCCCCTCTTAAGAAGAAAAGGCCCTGAGCAGTCACTGGTCCTGGAGTTAACAGAATATGGAATAAACCTAACCCTACCCAGCAGCCTGAAGCACAGCCACCCCAGCTGACCTACAGAGCTTTCAGCAAGAAATAAATGCTTTTTGGAAGCCACTGAGATTCTGGAGTTGTTTATTATCTCATATTGCACCAGAAACTTAATATAGCACAAAAACATAATAATAAAACTTCTAAGCAGAAAGCAAAATCTGAAAACTACATAAAGAAATTGACAAATCAGATCATGGTAAAAAAAATTTAACATACCTTTATCAGAAATTGATACATCCAAAAGGCCAGGCATGGTGACTCATGCCTATAATCCCAGCACTTTGGGAGGCCGAGGTGGGCAGATCACCTGAGGTCAGGAGTTCAAACCAACCTGGGCAACATGACAAAACTCTGTCTCTACTAAAAATACAAAAATTACCCAGGCGTGGTGGCGGGTGCCTGTAATTATAGCTACTCAGGAGGCTGAGGCACGAGAATCACTTGAACCTGGGAGGCAGAGGTCGCAGTGAGCTGAGATTGTGCCACTGCATTCCAGCCTGGGCAGAAAGCAAAACTCCATCTCAAAATAAATAAATAAATAAATAAATAAAAGAAATTGATACATCTAAATGGTAAAATAATTGGTATGGTTGTAGTAAGTTTGACAAAATGTGGTCCATTAGATATATAAATGGAATACTGCACCTAACATAGAATATGCATTCTTTTCAAATATATATGGGACAATATAAAAAGCAATGAAATACTTGCTCATGAAAGTTTCAACAATTTGAAAAAAAATAGTTTCACACAGCACATTATCTGAACTTACCAAATTAGAAATAATAAAAGGGATTTTTTAAAGTATTTTGAAACTAAAACTACATCCCTAAGTAACTCATGGAACGTAACTCATGAAACGAAGTCACAATGGAAACTTTAAACGATTTCAAACTGAATTGAAAGTGCAACATACCAACACATGTAGAATTGTGGAACAGTGAATGCAGTGCTTAATTCCTAGCCTTCGTAACATTTAACATGCTTTTAATTACACTTTTTTAAAAAAATGCATACATTTATATTAAATGAGTTAAGTTTTCAACTCAAGAAGCCAGATAAAGAACAAGGAAAACTGAAAAAAAAAAAAAAATTGTAGGGAGAATTTCACTTTCAACCGTGATAGACAAATAGGAATGGGATTTATCCTAACATCTTAAATAACTTGAAAAGCAGATAAAATATGAAACAATGGTTTTTAGACATCAAAAAACAGGCAGTGCTGGACAGTAATCCCAAAGAGAAGGGAAACAAATAAGGTAAGCCTTATGATTGCCCCAGGTCACTGCCTGAAGAGAATTTCCAGACTACAGTGCAAGGGAGAAAACAAAACAGAGTCCAGCAGCCTTCCTGACTTGAGAAGACAGAATTCAAAGTTTTAGGAGGTCAGGAGATACACACAGACAGCACCAGAGATCTGCAGTAGGGTTCCCCTCTATGTCTTTGCATGAGTGCAGATCTATACAAGCATGCAAGGAAGTTACCTAACACCAAAGAAAGAACCATTAGAAAGGAACAGGTGCAACAATGCTCACAGCTCACTTCTCATTAGGCGTAGTCCATGCTCAAACCAACAAGAAAGAAAGACTTCCTAATACTGGGAGCATCAAACAGAATCCTCAAAAAGGTATTTCCCCAGTAATGGGAGCAAATTAACCCTAGACTAAATCTGCTTTGGATTTACCTAACACTTAAAAACAAGCCTTAAAAACTATTTAATTCATTTCAACTAACTTAACTGAATCTCAGAATAAAGCCCAAAAATATCTAAAGAGATAAAATCCAGCAACCATCAGTGACCAGAATCCAATGGCAAATCACCAGTTAGGTAAGCAGGCAGGAAAATACAACCCACAGCCAGAGGGGGCAAAAATCAATCAACCAATCCCAGAAATGGCAGAGATTATAAATTTAACAAATAAGAATGTTAGAACAGCAAAATCAACTCCACACTTTAAGAAGACAGAGAAAAACATGAACACAAGGAAGATATAAGTAAGACTCAACTTGAATTTTAGGAGTGAAAATACAGGATATGAAATGAAAAATATTCTAAAAATAATTAGCATATTAGACACTGCAGAACCAAAGATTAATTTACTTTGAGGGCATAGCAAGAAAAACTATCCAAAATGAAAGAGTGAAAACAATGGGAAAACAAACAGGAAGGAATATTGGTGAGCTGCAGGACAATGTCAAAGATGAAGGAAACAAAAGCATTTGAAGAAATAATGTCTGAAACTTTAAAAACTTGATGAAAACTATAAAACTTCAGATCCGGAAATCTCATTGAAATCTAAGCAGGACACATGAAGAAAATTACACCAAGACACATCACAATCAAATTGGTGAAAAACAATGATAAAGATAAAACCTTAAAAGAAGCCAGAATCGGGGGTGGAGTGTTACATGTACAGCGGAACAAAGGAAAGAATGAAAGCAACTTCTCATCAGAAACCAGACAGACTTTAAGACAATGCTGTGACATCTTTAAAACACTGAAAGAAAAAACTGGCAACCAAGAGTTCCATACAAAGCAAAAAATATCTGTCTTTCAAAAATGATAGCTAAATAAAGACTTTCATAGACAGACAAATGCTGAGAAAATTCATCATCCAGAAAGAATTTTAATTTTTTCCCACTACAAGAAATACTAAGGGTAGTTCTTCAGGCAGAAATTAAATGACGCCAAATGGAAATGTGGATATACACAAAGAAAGAAGACATTTGAAAATTATTAATATGTAAAATAACCATTAAATATTTTTCTCATTAAAAAAACCTTTAAGAAGTAATTGTTTAAAACCAAACCAAAAGTTTGTTGAATGTATACTGTATTAGCGGTAAGTTTTACAATAGCAAGAGCCAAAGGATAGAAGAGGAAAATGAAAGTATACTGCTTTAAAATTCTTACACTCTATGGAAAGTGGTACATTTTGATTAAGTGTCCAACTGTAAATTGTTCATAATGTAATTGTAAACCCTAGAGAAAAATCTAATATATATCCAAGACTGGAGATAAAAATGAAATTATAAAAAAAATCAGCTTAACCAAAAGAAGGCAAGAAAATGGGGAAGAGGGAAAAGATGTAGAACATAAGAAACAAATAGCAGATGGTAGATAAAAACCTAACCATATTAATAATATTAATCACATTAAATATAAGTGGTATAAATAGTCCAGTTAAAGACACAGTTTGTCAGATTGGATTAAAAAGCAAGAATCTATTGTATGTTGTCCAAAAGAAACCCACTTTAAATATAAATACATAGACAGGTTAGAAATAAAATGAGAGAAAAATAAATTCCATGCCCATACAATCCAAAGAAACTTTCAGTGGTCATAGTAATATCAAATGAACCAGATTTCAGTGCAAGGAATATTACCAGAGTGAAACAATGTAAATATATAATGATATAAGTTTCATTCATTAAGAAGACATAATAGTCTTCTATGTATATGCAAATAATAACAGATCCTAAACATCTGAAGCAAAAAAGTGTTAAAACTGAAAAGAGAAATGGAAAATTTCACAATTATAGTTAAAGATTTTAAATGTAGACCAAGTAAAAAGAAAATCAGTAAAGGTATAAAGACTTGACCAATATTTTCAATTAACTTGAAATCGACATTTAATAAAAATCCCACCTAACAATCTTTATAATTGCACACAAAACATGTGCCAAAATAAATCATATTCTTAACCATAAAACCAGTCCATATAGATGTAAAAGAATTCAAGTCATACAAAGTATGTGCTATGAACACAATAGTTAAATTAGAAATCAGTAACAAACAGATATCTAGAGAAACTCAAAGTATTTGAAAATTAAACATACACTTCTAAATAACTAAGGGTAAAAGAAGAAATCACAAGGGAAATAGAAAATATATTGAACTAAATGGAAATTAAAAGGCAGTGTATAAAAATTCATGCAATATATAGAAAGTAGTGCTTTGAGGGAAATTTATATTATTAAGTGCTCTCATAATAATGTTATAAACTTTTACATTAAAACACTTTGAGAGTAAATTAAACATTGATAAGAATAAAGAAAAATAATAAAAATCAAAGCAAAAAATAAATAAAATAGAAAAGAAACAATAGTGAAAAATAAAAGAACCCAAAATCTGGCTTATTGAAAAAACCCTGCAAGACAACTTAGGCAATACCATTCAGGACATAGGCATGGGCAAAGATTTCATGACAAAGATGCCAAAAGCAATTGCAACAAAAGCAAAAATTGACAAATAGGATCTAATTAAACTAAAGAACTTCTGCACAGCCAAAGAAACCATCAACTGAGTAAACAGACAACCAACAGAATGGGAGAAAATTTTTGCAAACTATGCATCCAACAAAGGTCTAATATTTAGCATCTACAAGGGACTTAAACAAATTTAAAAAAAAAAAGCAACCCCATTAAAAGTAGGCAAAGGACATGAACAGATGCTTGTCAAAAGAAGACATACATGTGGCCCACCAGGCGCGGTGACTCACGCCTGTAATCCCAGCACTTTGGGAGGCCAAGGCAGGCGGATCACGAGGTCAGATCGAAACCATCCTGGCTAACACGGTGAAACCCCGCCTCTACTAAAAATACAAAAAATTAGCCAGGCGTGGTGGCGGGCACCTGCAGTCCCAGCTGAGGCAGGAGAATGGCATGAAACTGGAAGGCAGAGCTTGCAGTGAGCTGAGATCACACCACTGCACTCCAGCCTGGGCGACAGAGCGAGACACCGTCAAAAAAAAAAAAAAAAGACAACAATGTGGCCAACAAGCACGTGAGAAAAATGCTTAACATCATTGATCATTAGAGAAATGCAAATCAAAACCATAATGAGATACCATCTCATATCAGTCAGAATAGCTATTATTAAAAAGTCAAAAAATAACAGATACTGGCAAGGTTGTGGAGAAAAAGGAATACTTATATACTGTGGGGTTGGCTTTGTTCCTTACTCATTCACCTGACATGAGTGAAGGACAAAGGACATTCTAAGCCCGGATGTTTGCACTGGTGGATGATACCAAACATTTAAGTAAGAAATCATACCAATCCTTTGCAAAATCTTTCAAAAAATAGAAAAGAAAGATCTTCACAACTTGTTTTATGAGGCAAACCTTACCCTGATACCAAAACTAGGCAAAGCCGTAAAAGGAAAGGAAACTTACAAACCAGTACCCTTCACAAACATGAACATAAAATTCCTTAACAGAATATTAGCAAGTCCAGAAATATAGAAAGAAAATGTCATGTGACATTTAGGAATGCAGGTTGGCTTAACATTTAAAAATCTGTCAATATATGTCATCAATTTAGGAAATAAGAACAGGAAAGTTATATAATCATCTTAATAAAGGCAGAAACTCCATTTGACAGTCTTCATCTTCCTTTCATGATGTAAACTCCAAACTACCTAGGAACTACCTAGAAGGGAATTTCACCTTGACTTAAAAACTCCTATAGCTAATATCACACTTAAAAGCCTGAATGTTTTCCTCATAAGATCAGAAAACAAGGCAGAAATATTCACTCTTACCACTTTTATTCATCACTGTACTGAAGGTTCTAACCAGTGTAATAGATCAAGGAAAACAAATAAATGCATCTAGATTGGAAAAGTACTGCTGCCTTTATTCACAGATGACTTGGTCCTGTATGTAGAAAATCCTAAGGAATTCACAGAACTATTAGAATTTTTAAGCAAGTTTAGCAGGTAATAAGATACAAAATCAACATTTTAAAAATCAGTTCTACATGTTAGCATCGAACAACTGGACAAACAATACATGTTAGCATTGAACAACTGGAAACACAAATTTTAAAAATTATCTATAATATCATCATAAATACAGGCCAGGCGTGGTGCCTCACGCCTGTAATTCCAGCACTTTGGGAGGCCAAGGTGGTCAGATCGTTTGTGGTCAGGAGTTTGAGACCAGCCTGGCCAACATGATGAAATCCTATCTCTGCTAAAAATACAAAAATTAACTGGCGTGGTGGCACTCACCCAGCTACTCAGGAGGCTGAGGCAGGAGAATGTCTTGAACTGAGGAGAGGAGGTTGCAGTGAGCCGAGATCATGCCACTGCACTCCAACCTGGGTGACAGAGCAAGACTCCATCTCAAGAAAAGAAAGAAAGAAAAAAAAATGAAATACTTAGAGAAAATATATACAATACCTGTACACTGAAAATTATAAAATGTTTCTAAGGGAAATGTTTAAAGACCTAAATAGATGATGACATAGTCAGTGCTATGGATCTGATAGCTTAATGCTGTTAAGATGTCAGTTCTCCCAAAATTGATCTGCAGAATTAACACAATCCCAATCAAAATCACAATCGGCACTTTTTTTTTTCTTTTTTTTTTGAGACTGAGTCTCACTCTGTCACCCAGGCTGGAGTGCAGTGGCGTGATCTCTCACTGCAACCTCGGCTGCCCGGGTTCAAGCGATTCTTCTGCCTCCGACTCCCGAGTAGCTGGGATGACAGGTGCCTGCCACTGCACCAGCTAATTTTTGTAGTTTTTAGCAGAGACAGGGTTTCACCATCTTGGCCAAGCTGGTCTTAGAACTTCTGACCTCGTGATCCATCCCCCTCGGCTTCCCAAAGTGCTGGGATTACAGGCATGAGCCACCACGCCCGGCTACAATCGGCCTTTTTTAAAGAACGAAATTGTTCAGATTTGCCCTACCATATTTCAAGACATCCTCAAAAGCCACACAATCAACATAGTGATTTATGTAGAGACAAATAGATTCATGGAACAGAATAGTCAACTTTGACAATGGAATACTACTTAGCACTTAAAAAAAAAAAAAAACCCAAACTACAGATACATGTAACAACATGGATATAACTCAAAAGCATTATCCTAATTGAAGCAACCATACACAAAAGACAAAATACTGTTCATTTATGTTTATATGAAGTCTCAGAAAAAGCAAAGCTATAATAACAGAAAGCAGATTTGTAGTTGCCAGGGCTCAGGGAGAGAAAGGAGGGAATTAACTGCAAAAAGGCATAAGCGAACTTTCTGAGCTGCTAGAAATGTTCTGTATCTTGATGGTATCGGTGATCATACTACTGTATACATTTGCCAAAAGTCATTGAATTATACACTTAAAATTGGTGAATTTTATTGTATATAAATTATATTTCCATAAAATTGACAAAAAATAAAGACGGAAGCAATAAACATTGAAAAGTACAACAGGAATTCATGAAATAGAAAAATAAAAGAAAGTTTTATCTTTGATAAAACTAATAAAGTGGACAAATCTCTAGCAAGACTTACCAAGAAAAGGAAAGACAAACAAAAAATATTATGAGGAAAAGAGACCTGAACTACAGATAAGGTTGAGTGAATGCTATGAACACAAAAGAGGAAAAGCCCTCTCAGTAGGGTCATGTGGCTCAGTCATATGATGGCCTGCTGTTCTGCGGTTAAAATGAATGAACTGAATCTATGTGTATCTAAAAATCAGGGAAACATAGCTTTAAAATAAAATAACAAGTTGCAAAAGGATACACACAATTGTATTGATTTGCGTAGATGTTAAACAAACAATAGTATATATTATTTATGCATGCATACTCATACATGTATAGAAAAAAATTTAATATGGGAGATTTAGAATGCCAATTTACCAACTTCAAGATACTGGTTTCCTCTGGAAGGAAGAAAACTTGAAGGAATAGGAGACAGGGATACAAAAGGGAACTTTGGCTGTATCTTTATTGTTTTATTTCATTTGTGTTATGAAGAAACTGGCAAAAAGACAGAGACACAGCTGAAGGCAAAAAAAAGCAAAATATTATTATCTTTTAGGAATTATGGTGAGTAGGTGTCTGTTATATTAAATTTCTGTGCTTTTTGTATATTTTAAATGTTTCATAATTTGAAATAATTTGAGGGTTGACTAAAGCCAGCCATTACTATAAACTTCTGTATAGTGATCATATATGTGAATAATCTCACAATTGACATAGGTACTGGATTTATAGACAAGAGCCAATACATTTTAGTTTTATCAGTAAACTTTATCAGAAGTATTAACAAATTGAGAATTATATTGGTAGATTCTTAGTTATAATTCTTTACAGATTCCTGAAGAAGGCCAGAGTTAACACTAGTATCCACTAGATAATTTCAATATGTCACTAAATGGCAGATATCAAAGTCCATATCATGATTAATTGTTGCTAAGGGTGAATGAATGCCCTATGATCCTGTCCTTGCAAATAAGGTCAGAGAAATGTCTGTGCTTAGAAAAGAATCAATGTGATAAAAATCCAGCCAAGAATTAATTTTATCATGTCCTTCCTGTATCTTAGCACTTATCACTTTGAATCATAATTGCCTGTCTGTCTGTATGCTTGGCACACAGTAGGCACACAATAAATAATTAACTGGCTAACTACTCTCTAGGAAAGTAAGTTCCATGAGTAGAGGGATTGTGTCTGTTTATCCCTAGCTCCTAATACAGTGGACCTCGCATGGAGTAGGCACTAGCAAACATTTTTTGAATGGGTGTAGGGGGAGGTAAGATGCTGCTACTTCCATAACAATTTCCTAGATCTTCATCTGAAAAGATCTCTTCCTCTCAAATGTATAACTCTTCTTAGAATGTTTGACATGTTTCTTGTAGTTACTTGTATTTATGCATCATTTCCACAACTACATCGTATTACCTTTCAAGTTTCTTGAGAGCAGGGAGTATTTCCTTTGTGTAATTTATTACAGAATGATGGAAAGTGGAAAGCAGACGAATATCTTAAACCTAAAATTAATTCATTTAAACTTTTCTAAGTTCAGTGGAATTATATTGACCTTAAAGTAAGCAACTTCAAATCATTTAAAGTGAATTTCACTTGCATGAATTAAGTTATTTAGTAGCAAAGAAATGGACTATAATATGTCATGCCATGCCACCTACAGGGCTAGACTGCTTGTTTACTCAGCTATTTCCTGTTAAACCCTAATGAACAAAGACAGCTGCCAAACATTTTCTAGGTCATTTGTTCTGTTTGTAAACAGAAAGTGTACAATATTTAACAAGCTGTAATCATTTGCAAACTAGATTTATGCAGAATGAAAGAATTACAAAAGAGAGGAGGGAAATTAATGCAAGTCTTAAGTGCTTAATGACCCCATTAATTGAGAAAGAGGTAATTGGAGAAATTAAACAGAAGAGGTAATGGCCTTAGAGTCATTAACCTATTCTGAGAGTACTGCTAATGCTTACCAGGTGGTTTTCTTCTAAACTGAAAGTTGAGATTCAGTGTACTTTAATACAATAGTTCTTGAATCTGGCCAATCCTAAGAATCACCTGGAAAGCTTTTGAACAACACAAGTCCTGAGATCCTCTTCTTTCTTAATCAAAATCTTCGGGGTAGGGCTCAAGCATATGGATTTTTAAAAGCTGGCCAGGTGATTCTTTAGATTTTTTGATAAAAATCAGGCTCAATGTAGACATCATTGCTTTAGAAGAGGGTTTCTCAACCTTGGCACTGATACAAACAGGAGGCAGGGAAATACTAGGTAGAAAAGGGTGGGGTCCCTAGCAAGTGTTCCGCCCTCAAACCTGGGCCTGCAGCCCCAAACGAGAACTTCACTCCCTGTTTTCACGCCTGAATTCTGCCTTTTCAAAAACCACCCTGGCCCACCACACCCCCAACCCTGTACCCATAAAAAGCCCAAGCTCCATTGGCAGAGGAGCAGAGCAGTGCAGCAGAGGAGAGAAGAGAAGCGTCTGAACGTCTGCACGTCAGAGACTATGGTTGGAGAGGAGTTTGGCCATCCCATGCTGAACTCCAGGGGAAGATTATATTTCCACTCTATCCCATTTCCAGCTCCCCATGACACTGAGAGCAACTCCCATTGCTCAATGAAATCCTGTGCATATACCACCCTTCAATCTGCTCATGTGACCTGATACTTCTTGGACACCAGACAAGAATTTGGGATACACCGGGTGTGGGAATCCAAAAAGACTGACACTTCACTGAGCTGTTTTAACACTTAAGCCATCCGTGGATGGCAAAGCTAAAAGACCATTGTTTGTAGTACATCCCCTCCGGGGTTTTAGAGGATGCTGCCGCGGGCCAGTACACGGTTCATTCCTGCGGACACCCAAAGGCACTCACCCCAGCTCCTGCACCTGCTCACATTTGTGCTCCCCCTCCAGCAAGGGGTTTGAGCGTGGCGGAGGAGTAAACGAGCCACACACCTGTCGCAAGTTCTACAAAGGTGTCAAGGGAACTCTCCCATCTCAGCACTATTGACGATTTGGATGGCTAATCATGGTGGAGGCTGCCCTGTGCCTCGCAGAATGTTTAGGAACATCTCTGGCCTCCGCCCAGTGGTTACCTCCCTCCCCTAGAACCACCAAGGCCTAGACCTCTTCACTGCTGAGAAAGGAGGACTCTGCACCTTCTTAGGGGAAGTCGTTTTTACACTAACCAGTCAGGGATAGTATGAGATGCCACCTGGCATTTACAGGAAAAGGCTTCTGAAATCAGACAATACCTTTCAAACTCTTATACCAACCTCTGGAGTTGGGCAACATGGCTTCTCCCCTTTCTAGGTCCCGTGGCAGCCATCTTGCTGTTACTCGCCTTTGGGTCCGCGCCGCCTTTATGAGCTGTAACACTCACTGTGAAGGTCTGCAGCTTCACTCCTGAAGCCAGTGAGACCACAAACCCACAGAGAGGGACAAACAACTCCCAACGGGAGGAACGAACAACTCCGGACGCGCCAACTTTATGAACTGTAACACTCACCGCAAAGGTCTGCAGCTTCACTCCTGAAGCCAGCGAGACCACAAACCCACAGAGAGGGACAAACAACTCCCGACGGGAAGAACGAACAACTCCGGACGCGCCAACTTTATGAACTGTTAACACTCACCATGAAGGTCTGCAGCTTCACTCCTGAGGCCAGTGAGACCACGAACCCACCGGAAGGAAAGAACAACTCCAGACGCGCCGCTTTTAAGAGCTGTAACACTCACCGCGAAGGTCTGCAGCTTCACTCCTGAAGTCAGTGAGACCACGAACCCACCGGAAGGAAGAAACTCTGGACACATCTGAACATCAGAAGGAACAAACTCCGGACACGCCGCCTTTAAGAACTGTAACACTCACCGCGAGGCTCCGCGGCTTCACTCTTGAAGTCAGCGAGACCAAGAACCCACCAATTCCGGACATACTAGGTTATAAAAATCAAAATGTCTCAAGACATGGCCAGATTCTTTTGGGAGGTAAAAATCACCACCAGTTGAGAACCTCTGCTTTCATGCTATAGCACAACACTGTCTGATAGAACTTGCTGCAATAAGGGGAGCAGTCTCTGTCTGTACTGTCTGATACCAAAGCCATAAACAAAATCTGGTGATTGAGCCCTTGAAATGTGGCTAATGCTGGGCATGGTGGCTCACACCTATAATCCCAAGGCTTTGGAAGGCCAAGACAGAAGAATTGTTTAAATCCAGGGGTTCAAGTTTAGCCTGGGAAAAGTAGTGAGAACCCATGTCACAAAAAAAAATTTTTTTTTCACTTTTCTGGGCGTGGTGGTGTGTGCCTGTAGTCCCAGCTACTAGGGAGGCTGAGGCCAGAGGATTGCTTGAGACTTGAAGGTCAAGGCTGCAGTGAGCCATGATCACACCACTGCACTCCAGCCTGAATGACAGAGTGAGACCGTCTCTCAAAAAAACAAAAAAAAAAAGAAAAAAAAAGTAAGAAAAAAAGAAGTATGGCTAGTGTGATTTGGAATTGAATTTTAAATTTTATTTTATTTTAATTTTAAAAGCAGCACATGATTGGTGGCCATAATGTTGGACAGCACAGCTTTACAAGATTCAGATATGACTGTAGGCAATGAAATTGATACAATTTCCTCCTAAGTGCTTCTGAGACCTGCCATGTACAAATAATTTACAAGAATAGAAAATCTACCTAACCCCCTGTATGGATAAGAAAAATATCTTAGGACATTATAACTAAAAGAAAGTTTACTTGCAGTTTTGTTTTCTAAGGGCTACCTAGGAAATGTTTTTTGTTACCACCATTGATATCCAGATTATGCAGACTGGCTAGGGTTAGCCCCTTTCAGTCCCAAACACGATCTCCTTTTACTGTCCTTAACATTTTCTTCTGAAAAGTTCTCACTGTTGCCTGTTTTCTCTCAATTCTTAACTGGTTAAATATACAATTACCATATGACCCGCAATTTCACTCCTAGGTATAGATTCAAGACACATAAAAATATATGTTCACAAAAACACTTGTACATCAATGTTCATAATAGCCAAAAAGAGGAAATAACCCAAATGCCCATCAACTGATGAATGGATAAACAAAATGTGATATATCTATACAATGGAAATTTTTTGGCAATAAAAAACAGTGAACTACCTCTCTTACATGCTACAACACAGACAAACCTTAAAAACGGTATGCTGAGTGAAAGAAGCCAGTAACAAGCCACTACATACTATATAATTCCATTTATGTGAAATGTCCAGAATGAGGAAAAATCTATAGAGACAGAAAGTAGATTATTGATTGCCTAGGGCTTGCGTAAATGGGAGATGTGGTGGTAATGGCTATTGGGTATGGCATTTCTTTTGAAGGTGATGAAAATGTTCTAAAATTAAGTTGTGGTGACAGTTGCACAACTCTGTGATTGTACTAAAAACCACTGAATTGTATCCTTTAATTGTGTGAATTGTAGGGTACGTGGATTATATCTCAATAAAGCAGTTTAAAAATCTGTCAGTATAATCTATCATATTAACAGATCCAACATGAAAATCTACATAATCATACCAGTTCGTGCATAATATTTATTTTTGAAGTGGAAATGGCCTTTGGAAATGTTATTCCAAAAATAGTCTCTCCACTGGCTACCACTATTCTCATTTCCAGGAGAACCGAAGTGACCCTGCATTGTGTCCAAGCTTGGGCTGACAATGCTTGAGCAAGGCCCTTACTCAACAACAAATCATCCCACTCTAAAGGACCTACTATAGGTCCACAGCCTGCAACTGAAAGGTCCATCCTTGTAATTCCTGAGTTCTTTCAGCCTCTCCAGACCAGAGGAATAATGGACACGTGAACAATACCAATGAGAAAAGACAAAAAGATAAGAGGATGCCAATATCCAGTCTAATTTTGTCGTGAGCCAGGCTGGTCAGACCTTGTCCTGGATGGAAAGTGCTACGTCATGGAAAATAAACAGCTTCATCAGGGCATGAGAGGATGACATTCACTTTTAGGGGCTTGAGCTCTCTCTGTAGCCCCAGGTAGAGCCCATTCTCCAACTTTAAACTCACTCAACTCAGATAATTTTACAGGAAATGAATATGTTTCTAGGTTTTTTGTTATGAAGTGACATATCATACTGAAAATAAGTGCCAGGCTTATGCTGTGTGAGCACTGACAGTTCAGAATTCCTTGAAGTATACAGAAGGTAGGGAAGGGAAAATAGCAAATGTCAAGTGAAGTAAAATCTTACATAATGTAAACAAAAAAAAATTATCTAAAGCAATTATGCTGTTAGCCTCCAGAAGACATGTCACATGAAGCTAAACAATTTAAGTGGTTAGACGGAGATCTGTTTTGAAATTATATGAAGAGAAGGATATTGGAAGACACAAAGAACTGGCTTGTTAAAGAAAATCAGGTAGGGAGGAATACTAATTCAGCAGACAAAGCAGTGACAATAGATTTAAAACAGTGGCACAGGCCAGTGTATGAGCATTAACTCATTTCTGACCTTTCTTCCATTCACTGGGAATGCAGATGGATACACAGAGCTAAGTCCTTTGAAATGGTTCTGGGAAAAGTTTGATTTATTTAGAAGGCCAAGTGTCATCCTTAAGACAAGCTATGTCAACTGTGCTCTGAATTTCTTAAATCTAGATATAGTGGCAGCCTTCCCTGACCCTCACTGTCAGGCTGGATTAGGTACTGCCTCTTCTGCATTCTGACAGCACCCTGGATATACCCTTAGTATAGCACTTAATGTATTATTTTTGAGGATTGTTATTACCTGCCTTTCCCACTGGACAGCAAACTTCTCAATAACTGAGACTTATTGTTGGCATTCCTGTGGTTTTCAGTTATCAAGGGCATCTTATCAGAGTTTATAGGCAGGCAAAGTTTCTCATCTCTGGTGGGCAGTGTTTTACTTTCAGGTGTTCCATAGGCCAATTGGCTTCTTCCCAGATTAGGTAAATCAAAGGGTAATGCCATACCTGGACTCTACTGCAGACCTGGTGGTGAATCAGGCTGTTCTACAATACTGAGCTCCAGTAGTATTTGAGCTCAGCTCCAAAATGGATGCCTTCCACAAAACTGCTCACTTGAGCGGGTTCAATATCATTATATTGGCTTCCATTCCAATGTTTTTCCCTTGGTGTTGTCACAGAGACTTCAGGCATTGGAACTGCACCCCTTCCCCATAGGCACCCTGGTGAGCTTTTGTCATTCCAGCCATGTTTATGTAAGATGCTAAAGAAACAGATTGCTCAGGGACATTCATAGAGCCTGAAAGAATTCATGCACCTTCCCTGTTGCTTTGCATCATGGGAGGTTATGTCTAGGGGGCAGGATAATTTGGCTGTTGAACATTCAAATTTATGTCTCAGATCATGTACCCAGGTCCCAGATATGAAATCAGAAATTTTATGATGTTCCCTACATGCTCCACATCCCCAGACCTAATCCCACATCTTGTTGTCTTTTTTGTTTCTTTAACCCATTCGCTTTCTCTTAGCAGAACTAATCAATGACATAATGGATTATCTGAGCAAGAAGTGTGTTTTCATCAAAACTTCAGGTTATGATCTTTCCACTTATACCAACTAAATAAACATGACAGCAGACACAGTTTCTTTTCTCTGGACTGTCTGTGTCAGTGCTGACACTACCTCAGTTTGAAAAAAGAGAGCAAAAAATAAAGTCCACATGTGTCCCCAAGGTAGCACCAGCCTGTTTGAGATGGTAATTGTCACCAGAGCTATAAGAAGTCCTTTTGGGAATTCAATTCTCCTGCCCTTGCTACCTCTACGGATTAGAGAGAGGGAGATAGACATGCACTGTTCTTTATTTCTGGGAACACACACAGATGGACTTCGGATTGAAGAAATCTGTATTTGTCGAAACCTTTGACCAGAGTTATAAATCTATGTGCTGCGTGGCAGGGATGTCTTTGACTCTGGAATAAAGAACAAAGAGCATTTTCGTTAGTCACGCTGAGGAAAACACTGAAGAAGCAGAAAGCCTGGGAGTGTTGAGGCCACCCCACCTGCACTGGAAGAGCACCCTGCCTTCCCTTTTACCTTCTCAAGGAGAAGCTTCTCTGAGAGTTCTAGCTCCAACTCTGGGGTTTTGAACAATAAAACTAGTATCAAAATCATCCCCCAGACTCCACAAGTCCACTTTTAATGATGATAAGTTTAGACTTTTCATAGACGCATAAAACATCGAAGTAGCCAACCAACACCCTGGTGCTTTATTTCATTGTTGAGCTGAGTGAGTGACGAAGATCCAACATCAACATCACAAAGCCCCAAAAATTCCCACTATATTTGGCAAGATTCTTTAATATACATACATATTTTTTGGTTCACAAATATACTTTCATCATAGGGCATTTAATATAAATATAAAATATAAAATACTAATATAAAAGTATTAGAAAAAAATTTTCATACTCCCATCACAACACATTTTGTTTGTCATGCTCTTTTATGATTAAAGATGTAATTGACATGCTAAATCTTACAGAATAAAAAAGAATAAAATGTGGGTTTCAACTTTGGATTTTTAAATCCTGACATTTGCAGCTGATTTCATAAAACATTAAAGCACACTTGGACAGGGACCTTGTTTGAGATGGGTGGTATATTACAATAGGCTGTGAAAGATTGTGAAATCAAGCCAGCTCCATGGGAATGTGCACAGCACACATCTTCTGTGAAGCTCTGGCAGTGCCAAGAAATTCTTGTACTCCTAATTGGCCAAATCCTGCTTTCATCACTTGCAGATCATAGCCCACAATCAGTAGAGGGCTTCCAGAGGTGTATGATATTACCCCTGAGTGCTTATCACAGACACTAAAATTCAGGCAGTTAAACTCAAGAGAAAACAACTGGGTAGTGAAAACAGAAAAATGACTGACATTTGCGGATTTCTGTTGTTGATCCTGCACTGATTAGGACCAAGCAGGAGTCTCCAGCTGCCACGCAGAAGGAAAGAGGCAGATCTTTGAAGGATGGTTTCTAACAACTTGTGAAGTTACCTGGGGTTAGACGGGAGTTCTGGTAAGAATGAGGATCAGCAAGGTGCTAAGCCAGCTTCTATTGGCCTTAAATCCATGTATTTATTGAAATGTTACCTGGTTTGGAGTGATCTTAAGTTGTTCTGTAAGCTCTGTGGTACCCCACAGGCCATCTGAAGAAGTCTACTTAAAGATGTTGGCTCCCTGGATCTGGGATTGATGTGTACACCCCTGCCTTTTTCACCTTGCTTTACATGGCATTCTTAATTTTCAATTCTGAAATTTAAAAGAAAAAAAAAATAGCACTCTGCTGGCTTCAGTTTCATCATCTGTACAATGACGGGTTGGACGGGATTATCTCTGAGTAGTCTCCCCAGCTCTGCATTCTGTGCTCCATCATTCTAAAGACTAAATGTCCTGCATCAGGCAGGAACAGTGTGATCACTACTCCAGGTCACCACTGCTGACCTGTTGGAAAAGCTGGGATATTTACTAAAGTGACGCTTCAGTCCTTCAGTGATTGCCCCACAAAATCCAGTTCTTCACTTGTCATTTACTGTGTAAGAGGCTAGGGCCTATGACAAGGGGACTTCAAAGAAAGGAGAACAAAATAAAGCAGATGTGGGTGAGAGGCAATACTTTTGCTTTTTTGTGTTTTCAACAATTTGCTTCTTATTTTTATCTTTTTGAGTTTCAGATGCACATCACTTATGAACTGATTGCCACTTTTGTTTACTGCCTTCGTTTCTCAGCTAGCAATTTCTTAAATGATTTCTAGAATAGTTTTGTCTTAATTTCAACATTCTCCTGACAAGGTCTTTAGAGTGCTTGGAATGCACACTAATTTTCAAAAAGTTTTGTTATTTTAATCTCTAACAACTGTGAGGTGGAAAGCTCTAATTCCTTCTTTTGAGTCGTGAGGAAAGTGACATGCATGGATATTGAACAGCTCTAGACAGCAGAATTGGTCTTGCATTCAAGGTCACTGAATGGTGTACAATTACAGTTCTGAAGGAGAGAGGAGGGACTGCCCAGCATGAATAGAGTCACATGGATATCTAATTTCCCTACAGATTGCTCTAAGGCAGATAGCTCATTGGTGGCAGCATCTACATAAATACCCAGAGAATTTTATTTCTTCACCAGATATCTTCCTTCTACCCTTTTTGTGTTAAGTCAACTCCCTTGTCCCCACTTTATGACCCACCACTGACAACATGTAACATTTGGACATTGAAATTGTCCCGTTTAGGCTGGCACAGTGGCTCACGCTTGTAATCCCAGCACCTTGGGAGGCCGGAGGGGGGGGGGGGGGTGGATCACGAGGTCAGGAGTTCAAGACCAGCCTGACCAACGTGATGAAACCCCGTCTCTACTAAAAATACAAAAATTAGCCAGGTGTGGTGGCACGCCGCCTGTAATCCCAGCTACTCAGGAGGCTGAGGCAGGATAATCGCTTGAACCCGGGAGGTGGAGGTTGCGGTGAGCTGAGATTGCACCACTGCACTCCAGCCTGGGCGACAGAGTGAGACTCCATCTCAAAAAAAATAAAAAAAATAAAAGAAATTATCCCATTTAATTTCAGGCCAAAATTGCAAATCCTTCAAATCTCCCAGAAGAGCAGAAGAAAAACAACTCAACAATATTTAAGAAAGTTAACTGGTGAGGTTAACTCAGAACCCCCAGGTGAATTAGGTCATCTCTGTCCCCTCCCCTGAAGACCTCGTGAACTCTGAGGGTATGAAATGGAATTGAGAGTTGGGGACTGCATTCTCCAGAGATCGATGATGAAGGAGTTGAGAAAACAAGCTTCATCCCCTAACCCCAAAAAACAATTTACCTCACTAGTACAAAGCCATTTGGTAGAATCTGTGTTATAGAATCAGGTAACTTGAAGAAATGATGTGAAGTCATCCAGTTTATCCCCTACTTTCAAATAACTAACAAGGTTGCACTGAATTACTTCCTTGCCTTCAGACATGTACTAGGATGAACTCTATGGCGTTCTTCAGGACTTGCATTATTTCAAAAAGTCCTTTGGTAATCCTTTCCAATGTCTGACCAACACCAACCACCCAATTAATATCTAACCTAAACCCTTCCTGTTACTTATTTAAGTCATTTATTTTCTTTGATACCTTGGGAGACATGGGACAGCAGCAGGTCTCCTTTTCAGGAATCTTTCTCAATGCGTGAACTGCCCTTATTATAATGCAGAGTGAGTGAAACATTCGAGGGAGAATCTCAAAAACATGAATTGTTTAATTCTCAAATAATAAAGGAAATCTGGTAAAGTTATGGTTTTGACTTTTCCACCTACTAGCTCTGTGCTCTTGGACAAGTGATGTAGCATCTCTAAATATCAATGTATTCTTTTGTAATGTAGCTGTAATACTTAAACCAAAGATTATTATAAATATTCAAAAGCATAATATATGCAAAATGGTCAATTGTGAAGCACAATACCAATACTAGGTATAGTAATAATTATCAATTTGTCATGAGGATTAAGTCAGAAGAATCATGGTGAAATAACAATTGTTGAGAAAGTGTGGAGAAACTGGAACTCGGGCATTGCTGGTGGGAATGTAAAATGGGACAGCAGCTATGAAAGCAGTATTGCAGTTCCTCAAAGTTATTAAACATCGCCAGTGATTCCACTCCTGGATATACACCCAATAAGAGGTGACTCAAACAGATATTTGTACACCAGTGCTCATAGCAACATTATTCACAATAGCCAACAGGTGGAAATGATCCAAATATCCATTAATGACTAAACAGATAAGCAAAAAGTCATATACACTTACACACACACACACACACACACACACACAATGGAATATTCTTCAGCCTATAAAAATAATGAAGTTCTGACATACGTTAAAACATGGATGAACCTTGAGGACATTATGCTAAGTGAAATAAGTCAGACACAAAAGGACAAAGATTGTGTGATTCCACCTATATAAGGTACCTAGAGTAGTTGAACTCATAGAGACAGAAAGTAGAATGGTGGTTTTCCCAGGGGCTGGGGAGAAATTGTTTAATGAGTAGAGAGTTTCAGTTTGGATGAAAAGTTCTAGAGATGGGTGGTAGCTGTACAATAATGTAAATGTACTTAATGCCACTTAACTAGATAGTTTAAAATAGTTAAAGGGTAAATTTTATGTTATGTATATTTTGCCACAATTTTAAAAGGAAGCAATGGTCACTGCATAGTCCTTTCTTGGCAGAGGACTGCGGGATACCAATACAAAAGAAAAGATACAGGAGTTACCATTTTGTTAGGGATACTGGATAAATACATAAAACAATCAAGACTGATAGACAACTACTTTGTGATTCAAGGCTGCTGTAAGAGGGGAAAGGTGGGGTAGTGAGCATGCTGGATTGGAGTGAAAAAAGAAGGCTTGCTTCATGGACATGCAGACCTGGGTTATACACAGGTCTTTGATAGGCACAAAAAATAAAACAAAAACAACAACAAAAATCCTTGATTATTTTCAGGCCTCAGAAGCATTTTTCTAGCAACTAGTACTTTGGGCTTCACCCTGGAAAATCGCCATTTTCCTCCAGTACCAACTTGAACTCCAGGGATCCTGTGAAATATTGATTCATGAGCATTTTATATTGCATAACCCCTTCATGCCAAGGGACTGCCCAGAGAGCTAGAGAAATTCTAGCTAGACAATCTTAAATACATGTTTAAAATTGGGAACAGGGAGAAATGACATAGAGAAAATCCAAAGGCCAGGTATTGATTGACAAATTACCTGGGGTAAGCTGAGATAAGCAACAGTAAATCATTAATGTCACTAAAGACCTGCAGTTCAATCCTGCGGCACAGTGGTACAACGTTGCTGCTCTAAGCACAGTCTTTTCAGTGTGCCAAAAAAGATGAACCTCTGCTTTGCTGATGGCAGAAAGAGGTTATGAAAGTAGGTTTTTGTAGACAGGGTGACATCAGGCTGGGTAATATAATGAGAAGAGCACAGACTTATGTGACAGACAAATGTGGATTCAAATGTCACTTCTATCACTTGCTACCTTGTGAATTTGACAGTTGTTTCACATCTCTTAGCTTCTCATATGGAGAGTAATAACACCCACATCACTGGGTTTGGGACAAGATGATGACAATTTATATAATGTCCTTCACACATAAAGGACAATTTAATAATGAGAAAAAAAATAGCCATAAGGTTTTCAATGGAGGCAGCTATGATTACTTCTATATTATGATAAAAATATTATAATAGCGCTAATGTATATAGCACTAACATTATCCCCAGGACTATTGTAAATACTTTATGTTATAGACTCTTAACTTTGGAAAGATCCTGTGAGATAGAAACTGCGGTTATCCCTACTTTACATTTGAAGAAATTGAAGCACAGAGAGGTTAAGATATTTGCCAAAGTTCACAAAGCTAATAATTATTGTTGCTGGTGCAGTGATGTAGAGCAGAGAGAAAATTTAATAGGCTCCTTAGGAATGAATTCATTAGAGGAAATTAGAACCATAGTAAAAATACATCCCTCAAAAAGGCACCAGGCCCCAATAAATCATGATATATAAATTGTTAAAGACCAAAGAAAAAGCTGAAAACTTCCTAGTTTGCATCTAGCATAAACACAATGCAAAAATTGGACAAAAATAAGATGTAAAAGAAAACTATAAACCAATAAAACATTTTAATACACTTACAAAAATTATAAGCAAAGTCCAGCATTGCATTAAAAGGATACCATTTCATGGTCTTATTTAAATATATTTCTACTTCAAGGACTCTACTAAAAACATGAAACTTTAGTTTTAATAAATGAGATGATTGGAGAAGACAAAAGAAAATATCTTTAAATCCCTATGGCAGATAATAGAAAGGCTTTCTGTGGTCATATTAAGTTTCTATACAGCACTATAAATAAATAAAGACAATGAAATAGAAATTGCCATGTCAAATTAATATGATACTTTATTTCATACATAAGGCAATTAAAATATTTAAAGATGAAATGTACCAATTTTTATTACTTAAAGCTCTCATATTTTTGGTAATTTTAGAATTCAAAAGTTTTAATATTGATAAACACATAGTTAAGTATGTACATTTTCCCAATTAGTAATGAAAAAGAAATAGATCACCTATAAAGATTCAGGTTCCTTTTTGTTTGCAGTAAGACTATAATTCTAAAAAAGACTTTCATGAGTAAAATTGTACCTGAAGAATACCAAACATACTCCAGAGGAATGTGGTGTTGGCTCAGTTCCTTCCTCTTTCACCTGATATGAGTTACTGAAAGTAAAATATAGCCTGGAATACTTCAAAAATCCATGGAGAAATGGAAAGATATTCTACTTGTAAGAGACTGACATGAAGCATGCTATTTTAGTTTCTTATTGTACAAGCCATTTGATGAAGAATTTTATGAATTAACGGACTACTTAGGAAACATTAGAACAAGATATTATTAATCAAAACTTGTGAAATATAGAAAACTTTATAGCCCCAAATGCCTTCTAATTAAACAAAAAAATTAACAACCCTCGAAGTATTAGAAAGGGAAAAACAAAATAAAATCAAGGAAAGCAGAAGAAAGAAATAAAAATAAAAGCAAAAATAAATAAGTTAGAAAATGGTAAAATTGTGAAATCAAAACTCACATTCTTTGACAATACATGAGCCCTCAGAAACTGTAATCAATAAGAGCAGTGCATGGCAGGAATTTAAAAACTGATATAACCACTGAAAATTTAATAAAATTTAACAAAAATTAAATTAGAAGAGGGGACATAACAAATATTACAAATTTTAATGAAAAGAATGAATAGATCCATAACACTAGAGGAAATTAGAACCATAGTAAATATATATATATATATATACATGTCCTTCAAAGGGCATGAGGCCCTGATAACTCATGATATATAAATTGTTAAAGATTAAAGAAAAAGCTGATAAACTTCTCAGTTTGCATCTAGCATAAACTCAGTGACAAAACTGGACAAAGATAGGATAAAAAAGAAAACTATAAATCAATGAAACACTTGAACATACACAAAAATTATAAACAAAATGAAGTCCAGCATTGCATTAAAAGAATACCATCTTACGGTCATATTTAAATATAGTTCTACTTTAAGGACTCTATTAATGTAATAATTGGAATTTATTACATAGGAAGATTTAAGGGGAACAGCTATATGATATAGTTAACAGGTGTGAAAATCTTCAATAAAATTTAACACTCATTTCTGATTAAAACAACAACAAAGCCACTGGGTAAGTTAGAAATAAAAGGAATCTTCTTAACTCAAAAAGCATATCTCGGGCCGGGCGCGGTGGCTGACGCCTGTAATCCCACCACTTTGGGAGGCCGAGGCGGGCGGATCACGAGGTCAGGAGATCGAGACTATCCTGGCTAACACGGTGAAACCCCGTCTATACCAAAAATACAAAAAGTTAGCCGCGCTTGGTGGCGGGCGCCTGTAGTCCCCGCTCCTCGGGAGGCTGAGGCAGGAGAATGGCGTGAACCCTGGAGGCGGAGCTTGCAGTGAGCCCAGATCGCACCACTGCACTCCAGCCTGGGAGACAGAGCGAGATTCTATCTCAAAAAAAAAAAAAAAAAAAAAAAAAACTAAAGCAAACTGATACTTTCAGAAGCTTATTTCTCACTTGAGTGTAAGTTCAAGGCAAAACATTCAGCAGGCAACTTTCAAGTCCCCCATGCAGTCTTTCATGTCTTTAAGAACCCTGGCATCTCCTGGCCCCGTCTCTTAGAAACTTTTCAACTACATCCAGCCTTCAAAAAGGATGAAGTACATACGAAGGCTTCTATGGGCGTGGCAAGCATGGCTGTTGACACTGCACCAAAAAGAACTTAGTCGCCTGGCTCTACCTAACTGAAGGAGACAGGGAGATGGACTCTAGCTGTGTGCCCGAAGGGAGAACTGGAAGATTGTTTTGGTGGACACTTTGTGCTCTCTGCCACAGTCAGCTTCTCTGGCTACTATATATCTTCACATACTCTTCTTCACACTCATCTTTCCCCAAAGGGAGATGACCCCAAACCCCAGGCAGTTACTGAACTCATCTCAAAAGTCAAGAACTCAGGGCTGCACATTCCCGTACATCAAATATGGATGTGGTTTGTTATGATTTGATGAACTATCAAGTAAACATGTTAAATGCTCTTCTACATCTACCCACCCAAAACAAATTAGTGGAGCAGTAGAACAGCTGCAATAAAAACTCCTATATAGAAAAGGGAGAATGGAAAACACACGAAACCTCACCTCAAACCGAAAACTAAAGTCCTCATAGATCTATATCTGAACATGAAATATCTAAATATGAAAGAGTGAACCATGAAATTTCAGAAGGTAATACAGGAAACTTTTAAAATTGTGGAGTAAAAAGGCCTCATGAGCATGACACAACAACCAGAAATCTTAAAGTGAAAAATGAACAGATTTGTCCTCATTAAAATGTAAAACATCTGTGTCTCTGAAGATACCTGAAATGAAATTTAAAGGCACATGTAACAAGTATTTGCAAAGTAGGTGACAATTGCTTAGTATCCCTAATATCAATACAAAAGGGAAACAACACAAAATATAAATGGAGGCTTTCACTTTCAAGATGGAACACTAATTGCACGATGATATCCTCTCCTTTCTCAGCTTCTGTCCTTCCACTCTAAGCCTTAAGTTATTTTTTAAGTATATGAATGTATAGCTTGTTTTCTAAATTCAAAGAGATTTTTGGCTAATCAAAATGATGAGAAATCCCAGAAAGTCTAAAAGTACACAGGCTGTTTGCAGAGAGTAATTGTAGTCTGGAGTTTGTACTGGAAACTTTTAGAAAGTCCTGCCACAGAAGACGGGAGCATCACCAAGGGTGCCCATGCTTAGACATGGTAGAAGGTAGGACTAGACAGGAGGTGGAAGCTAAGGCAAATCATAAGAAAATGAGTTGAGGCATCCACTCTGGTCATGCCATGTACATCCCACTCTTTACCTCTCTACCAGTTCAAGTCTGTCTCTGCATAGGAGCCAGCCTAAGAATGAGGGGCAGGGTCAGCAATACCCATCTCAACTTTCCCTCATTCTCACTGAAAACAGTGAGGAGCACAAACCTCAAAAGCTGTTTCTATACCTCCCCTAAGGCTGGCTGTGGGAGTGAAAGCATAAGGAGTCTAGCGGGGAATTCAAATCACCAAGATGAGCCTACAGTCAAGAATCAACAATATTTAGCATGCAGCCTCCATAAAAAAATATATATAACAGCCCAACAGAATTACAACTTTGAAAAATTTAATAGATGATAAGAAAAGGACTTTTCTTAAGAAGCTTAATTAGTGTCTTCAAATATAGTATGGCATCAAAATAACGAATAAGGAGCTATCTGTGATAAAACAAACCAAAGTCAAACCCTGGAAATTTTAAAAAATGTAATTATTAAAATAAAAAATTCAGTAGATGCAAATAGAAAAATGAGAACAGCTGAAAAGGGAATTTGATATATAGAAGACAGAACGTAGGAATGTAGCACAAGGTGATAAAAAAAGTTGAAAACTTAAAAGACATGGAAGAGAGTTCTGTTAAGTCATAACTTCTAGCTAATAGCTAATAAAGAAAATAGAAGGGAAGTAAAATCTGAAGAAATAATAGGATGGAATTTCTTATAAGTGAAGAAAAATATAAGCCCTCAAATGGAAACAGTTCACCAACCACAGAGCAGGATTTAAACAAACAAACACATCACAAAAACAAAAGGCCCCACATCTGTACAAATGTAATGAGAATTCAGAGCATTAAGGATATAGTCAATATGTTAAAAGCTATAAGTATAAAGAGTAACTATTGAAGATTTCAGAGAGAGTGAAAAAAAGATTGTTTATAGTAATTCTAATCAAATTTGGCATAGATTTTTCATAGATAATATTGGATGAAGAAAAGACATTGGAGCAATACCTTCAGTTTGCTGAATAAGAAGAAGTTCAAATCCAAATTTCTATTGTCAGCCAAAATATCATTAATATGTGAGGAAGAAATAAGATGTTTTTCAAACATCCAGGGATTCAGAGTTTTATTTTTTTTTATTTTTTATTTTTATTTATTTATTTTTTTTGAGATGGAGTCTTGCTCAGTTGCCCAGGCTGGAGTGCAGTGGCGCGATCTCGGCTCACTGCAAGCTCTGCCTCCCGGGTTCACGCCATTCTCCTGCCTCAGCCTCCCCAGTAGCTGGGACTACAGGCGCCCACCACCACGCCTGGCTAATTTTTTTGTATTTTTAGTAGAAACGGGGTTTCGCCATGTTAGCCAGGATGATCTCGATCTCCTGACCTCGTGATCCACCCACCTCGGCCTCCCAGAGTGCTGGGATTATAGGCATGAGCCACCGCGCCGGGCCCCAATTCAGAGTTTTAATAACACAGCAGAATCTCTCTGAAAGCTGAAACTACTACTAGAGAATACACAAAGAAAATGAATCCAGGACCTCACGAGGAGCTGCAGTGGTTAGCAAAGAAAGCCAAAAATCTATTTTTCTATGAAATATAATTGCAAAACTATATTTAATAAATACTCTGTGCCAAAAATTCCAGGTTATTTCAACATGGGTTGTGGAAAATAGAAGTGTAGGTGCTGATGAAGAATTTAGGGAAAAAAGCATTCTAAGGTTCATCAAAAGGGGACAATGGACAGTGATTATAGATACTATTAGAAAATACAAATTCAACCACTTGTGACTAAAAAGTTAATATAACCACTGGAAGAATAAAGATAGAATATAGTTTTCAAAACAGTACATGAAAAGTGGAACAAAGAAAATTTCATTAATCCCTGAAAAGGCTGGGAAGGGGAAACAAGAAAACAAGAAAGAAAGGAAGGTTAAAATGAAAACACAAAATAAGATGGCAGGAGTAGGTTTAAATATATATTTTTAATAACCATAAATATGGCTTGAACCCAGGAGGCAGAAGCTGCAGTGCGCCGAGATCGTGCCACTGCACTCCAGCCTGGGCAACAGAGAGAGACTCTGTCTCACAAAATAAATAAATAAATAAATATGAATGGGGTAAATTTGTTTCATAAAAGGTAAAATATCAGGTTGGATTTTTAAGACTCCGGCTAAGTGCTGCTTACTGGAGAGAGCCAAAACCATGATGATTCCAAGTTTGAAAGCCTACACCTGGCAGGTACTAACAGTAGGATGGGAACAGCAACATCAGTATCAGACAAAATAGAATTGAAAGTCAAAGCATTAAAAGTATCAAAACAGGACATTTCATATTGTCAAATAATTTACCAGCAAGATATAATGATCATGAACCTAAAATGCCTCAATATCATTTTGAAATACCTAAAAAGTTAGTAAAATCACAAAAGAAAATTAACAAATACACATCACATCATAGTGGTCTGTTACAGTCTGCTACTATGATATACTATGAATAAAAATATAGAGTATTTAAATATAAAATTAACAAGGTTATCCTAATAGATATACATAGAACTTACACCTAACTGAGAATACACAGTTTACTTGATAACATGTACCAAAAAAAAATGCTCTTATAGAAGCCACTAAGGAAATTACAGCAAAATTTTAAATATGTATATATAAACTACTTAACTAAGCACAATATGTTAAAATTAGAAATTTTTTTAAAAAAGAACCCAGACAGCTAGATATTTTATGTCACTTCTAAATAATTCATTGGATAAGGAAATAACAAAATTGAAGTTTCAAATTATTTTGGAATGAATGAAAATGAAAGCACTCCTGTCCTATACAGACTCTGTATAGTCAACTTCACCCAATATCTGCTCAATAAATGCTGCTGAAGAAAGGGAAAAGATTAGCGATGATCTTAATCATAACTAAAATACTATGTTCATTATCCTCTGATGAGGATGCCCTCATTATGGAAAAATTTCTTTTGGAATGACAAAAATTATTTTAAAATGCTCTTCTTAAAAAGAATAGCTACATAGAAAGCAACTATCTAGGATAACTCAGTTACTAAAGAGTCCAGGAGAGTTTAGAACTTTGTGAAGCTTTGCAATAGTTTATTGTACGCCAGCATTTCAAATCTTTTTTTAAACAAATAAATAGTAAAGTAACTAAAAGAATAATGGAGTTAAATTTAGGCATAAACTCTAAACATAAAAGCAATGTACTATATGAAAGGTCTTTGAAATAAAACAGGATGGAGAGAAGGTGATTCTAATACAATTTTGTCTCCAGGGACATATATCATCAAACTCCTCCAGTATAAGTGCTTTTCTATTATATTCTTATATCTTATTCATTTGTGTGTATTCAGAGTGTTTTATTCTAAGACTCTATCTATGGCTGAGTAAACTTCTTGGTATCTATAGGCTTTATATTTTATGGAATATTTGTATATAAATGTTTTCATCAAATTACTAAATCAGTGACAATTTATGGAACATGAAGAGCTGAATTAATAAATTCACTGAAGCAGAAGGAAAAGGCTTCATTGATCTTGAGCTCTTAAATATCAAGCTTTATGCATTCTGAACTGATTCCATTTCTAATGGAAAAAATTATAAGTACATAAAAAATAAAGATAGGTTTATATCAAGGAGTTAGAGAAGACGAGGCTTAGGAGATAATTTGAAGCCTATTGGTATAGGGACTTGAAAACTTTAGTTTGAGTCGGACCTCAGAGATTATCCGATGTTCAATTAACCCCTTAACCTTACACTAAAAGGAACAATGCCTCAAGAATCCTTCTAATATCTTATAACCCCTTCCTGGATAATGAGCACAAAATAGCATTCATAATGAGGAATCTGGCCTATAGTCAGCGGGTAACCACTGGGGATTCTGAATTGAATTAAAAGAATGACACAGTCATAATCACATCTCTTGTGGTGAGTTTAGGATCAGTAAGGCTAAGGAGATCCTTGAAGCCAGTTCAAAGTCTCTTGTAATCTGTCAGATTCTAGGAATAAAAGCCAAGACGAGAAAATGTCAAGCAACTAAATATCCCTCTCTTAACATTCTGTACCTTTGA
Organism: Homo sapiens; assembly: GCF_000001405.40. Taxonomy (NCBI): domain Eukaryota; kingdom Metazoa; phylum Chordata; class Mammalia; order Primates; family Hominidae; genus Homo; species Homo sapiens. The sequence continues at coordinate 135,011 of NW_025791767.1, read as the reverse complement.
AAAAACACTTTTATTTTTATTTATGTATTTATTTATTTATTCGTTTATATTGAGACGGAGTTTTGCTCTTGTTGCCCAGGCTGGAGTGCAATGGAGAGATCTTGGCTCACTGCAACCTCCACCTCCCAGGTTCAAGCGATTCTCCTGTTTAGTTTTTTATTGTTATTATTATAATCATTATACTAAAAGAAATTTAGGATCCAATAGTGTTCTATATTGAATGACAAGAGGAAAATTGTCATTGTTGTCATTATTGAAGAATTCCCCCAATGGAGAAAAATTACTTCGTAGGAAGAACATGGGTTTTGTAATCAGAGACCATGTTCAAATACCAACTCAGCCACTTGCCAGCTAACCTTGATATTTCACCTGTCTTAGTGGAGGCTGTCGTCCATGACAGCCTTCAGTACTGTGGTGTGTGATGTTATCCTGAGGCTCAAGCTGGTACTACTACCTTCCTCCTTGGGAGAACAGTAGGGAAAGGGTGAACCTGGGAGTCCTAGCTTCATCATTAGTGTATATTCCTTCAGTTGCATTATTATTTGTTTTGGGTTTTGAGACCGCTATTTTGTGGGGCTCTGAGTATCCTCTGATATTCACCCAAAAGGCAAGCTTCAGCCAAATTTTACAGTGTACTAGGAACACATCACTCAGTTCCAAACCAGTTTCAGTTTCCCTAATCTCACCTCTGAGCTCAACTCCCCCAGAACAATGTGGGCAATAACAGGGTAAAACTAGAACCTCCTTTTCTCAAGTTATTTCCTAAAAGTTCCCCCTGATGCCTTCCCTTTCCAATTCACCACTTCCTACCTATATAAGTCCCCAGCACTCTTCTGCTTCCCCATGAATCCTCATGGGTTTGTGTGTGTATGTGTGACTTTCTGAGTATGGTTTCTTAAGGGGAGTTCCTTCAACCCCTTCCTCTCTTCTGTCCATCTCAAGATTTTGGCTTAGGGAAGGAGTCATTAGGCAATACTAGTTTGACATTTTATCTTTTTAGAGATGAGGAAGCTGAAGAACAAATACACTTTAGGGGCTAGGCTAAAGTCACATATTTCATAAATGGGAGAGTTAGGATTTGACCTCAGTCACCCTCATTCTAGGGCCTTTGCATTTTAGCATGCTGCTATGGGGATATTAAATAATTTGAAATTAGAAAACTAGATCAACAAAATAGAATTGATAGTCCAGAAGATGATCAGTATATATAAGGATTTTTTATGCAATAAAAGCAGCATTTCAAATCAATGTTGAAAATTGATTTGTCAATAAATGGCATTAGTAAAAATTACTAAGGTTCAAACTTTCACTACTATTGATGCCAAAATAAACTTCAGATGAATCCAAGAAATAAATGTAAAAAAATGAAATCATAGAAGAACTAGAAGAAAACACAGAATAAATTTTTTTAGTAGAGAAGACTACGTAAGATAAAAAATTTGTATGTCTTCTGAACATCACTTCTACTCCTGGGACTATATCCTACCAATCGACTTACACATAACCACAAAGATAGGTATACTGGCTGTTTATTGAAGCATCTTTTAAAAATTGTTGTTGCTTTTCTTTAACAGAGAAGGACTTGATACAACTTAAAAGTGTTTTATGGGGCATAGGGGTTTGTTGAATAAATAGTCACAACAAGATTTTACATATATGCAATAATATAAAATATAGCCATTCAAAAAGTAACGTAGATGTATACCTGCTCATATTATATCAAAGACAATATTTTGTACCAAGTTCAGAAGTTGTCAGTCATTTTTAATCATTAGCTTGAAAAAGGGAGAAATGAAATCAAACCCTAACAATAAAACATATCTATGTATTGGGGGTTAGTTATCAAGGTTGGTAAGTGTGTGGGGAGGGGATTGTTGGTGAGAGAATAAATCAGTTCAGCTTCTTTGGAGTGGAAGGCAATGTGATAATATCTGCCATCACTTACTAGTTTTGTGATGCTGAGCTTTATTTTCTTCACAGGCAAATTGGAAATACTAAAACCTACTTCCTAGTTTTGTTTTAAAATTAAATGAGGCACAGTGCCTAGCACATAGTTGGTATTTAATAAATATTAACTCCTGTCTTAGCTCAGAATGCCATAACAAAATACCATAGACTAGATGGCTTAAAAGAAAGAAGTTTATTTCTCACAGTTATGGAGTCGGGTGAACTCCAAGATTAAGGTGCTGGTAAGGTAGGTTTCATTCTGAGTTCTCCTCTTGTGGCTTGTAGGTGGCCGCCATCACACCATGTGCTCACATGACTTCTTCTTTGTATACATATGTGCAGGAAGAGAGAGACAGCAAGCAAGCTCCCTGATGTCTCTTCTTACAGGGCTCCACCCACACAACCTCATCTAATCCTAATTACCTTCCAAAGGCCCCATTTTCCAAATTCCATCACGTTGGGAGTTAGGGCCTCAATATATAAATGGCAGAGGGGTTGAGGCATAAACATTGAACCTGTAACATTCCACCCCTGGACTCCAAAAATTCATTTTCTTCTCATATGCAAAATATATACTCGCTCCATTCCAATAGCCCTAAAGTCTTAACTCATTGTAGCATCAGTTCTTAAGTCTGAAGTCTCATCTAAATAGTATCTAAATCAAATATGGGTAACACTTGAGGTATAATTCATCCTGAAGCAAAAAAAAAAATCCTTTCTAGTGATGAGCCTGTGAAACCAGACACATTACATGCTTCCAAATTACAATGGTGGGGCAGGCATAGGATAGGCATTCCCATTCCAAAAGGGAGAATACAAAAGAAGAAAGGGTGATAGCAAGTCCAAACTTAGCAAGACAAATTCCATTAGGTCTTAAAGTTCAAGAATTATCCGCTTTGCTTTGATGTTCTGCCCTTTCGAGGTGCATTGGAGTGGCATTGTCACCCCCCAGCTCTGTGGGTGGCCCAACCCCTTCAGTTCTGTGGGGGTAGCCTTATTACCTCAGCTGAGGGTAGGGGGAAGCTCCATCCATTGAATTCTCAGAAAGTCCCCATCCATGATCTGCTGGGCACAGCACTACCCTTTGAAACTGAGGTGGAGGCAGCCTGTCCCACTGGGCCCGGACCATGGTGAGAGTGGCAGTCCTAAGGACTTCTGAATCATCCTTGGGTTCCTTCTCTGTTCTTGAAAGGTAGCACACGTTCAAAGCGAAATACTCTATGGTTTCATCCTGTAAAATCCAAAAAGTCTGACAGCCTTCCTCCATTCTCTACTACCTTTTCTGTCTCCTTTACTTCAAACTGGCAGTATCTCTGATGGCATAATCCAATCTGTATTCCCAGCCTCTGTTGAGATGGCTGATTAAGTCCATGAGTTGCACCCATGATCTTTTTCAAATGGTTGTTTAGCCACACCCTTAGTGTTCTCTTCAGAACAAGCTTTCTTCTTCTTTGCAATAATGTTAGGTTGAGAATTTTCCAAAATGTTTTGCTTAAAAATTCATTCTTCAATTCATGTTTCTCTTTTTGCATTTTATTATAAGCAGTCAGAATAAACTAGGCTTCTCCTTCAAACACTTTGCTTAGCAATCTCCTCAGCTAAATATCCAGTTTCATTGCTTACAAGTTTTACCTCACACAAAACACCAGAACGTAGTTCAGCCAAGTACTTTGCCACTTTATAACAAGAATTGCGTTTCTTCCAGTTTCCAATAACATGTTCCCTATTTCCATGCCAGAACCACCCTTAATGTTTATATTTCTAGCATGCAACTCAAAACTCTTCTGGCCTCATCTACACTCCCACCAACAGGGTAAAAGCATTCCTGTTTCTCCACATCCTCTCCAGCATCTGTTGTTGCCTGACTTTTTAATGATCACCATTCTAATTGGTGTGAGATGGTATCTCATTGTGGTTTTGATTTGCATTTCTCTAATGACCAGCGATGATGAGCTTTTTTTCATGTTTATTGGCCACATAAATGTCTTTTTTTGAGAAGTGTCTGTTCATATCCTTCACCCACTTGTTGATGGGGTTGTTTTTTTTTTCTTGTAAATTTGTTTAAGCTCTTTGTAGATTCTGGATATTAGCCCTTTGTCAGATGGATAGATTGCAAAAATTTTCTCCCATTCTGTAGGTTGCCTGTTCATTCTGATGATAGTTTCTTTTGCTGTCAGAAGCTCTTTAGTTTAATTAGATTCCATTTGTCAATTTTGGCTTTTGTTGCCATTGCTTTTGGTGTTTTAGTCAAGAAGTCTTTGCCCATGCCTATGTCCTGAATGGTATTGCCCAGGTTTTCTTGTAGAATTTTTATGGCTTTAGGTCTTACATTTAAGTCTTTAATCCATCTTGAGTTAATTTTTGTCTAAGATGTAAGGAAGGGGTCCAGTTTCAGTTTTCTGCATATGGATAGCCAGTTTTCCCAACACCATTTATTAAATAGGGAATCCTTTCCCCATTGCCTGTTTTTGTCAGGTTTGTCAAAGACCAGATGGTTGTAGATGTGTGACATTATTTCTGAGGCCTCTGTTCTCTTCCATAGGTCTATATATCTGTTTTGGTACCAGTACCATGCTGTTTTGGTTACTGTAGCCCTACAGTATAGTTTGAAGTCAGGTAGCAAGATACCTCCAGCTTTGTTCTTTTTGCTTAGGATTGTCTTGGCTATACTGGCTCTTTTTTGATTCCATATGAAATTTAAAGTAGTTTTTTCTAATTCTGTGAAGAAAATCAATGGTAGCTTGATGGGGATAGCATTGAATCTATAAATTACATTGGGCAGTATGGCCATGAATGACAGTGTGGCGATTCCTCAAGGATCTAGAACCAGAAATACCTTTTGACCCAGCAATTCCATTGCTGGGTATATACCCAAAGGATTATAAATCATTCTACTATAAAGACATGTATGTTTATTGCAGCACTGTTCACAATAGCAAAGACTTGAAACCAACCCAAATGTCCATCAGTGATAGACTGGATGAAGAAAATGTGGCACATATACACCATGGAATACTATGCAGCCATAAAAAAGGATGAGTTCATGTCCTTTGCAGGGACATGGATGAAGCTGGAAACAATCATTCTTAGCAAACTAGCACAGGAACAGAAAACCAAACACCGCATATTCTCACTCATAAGTGGGAGGTGAACAATGAGAACACACGGACACAGGGAGGTGAACATCACACACCTGGGCCTGTCAGGGGGTTGGGGGATAAGGGAGGGATAGCATTAGGGAAATACCTACTGTAGATAATGGGTTGATGGGTGCAGCAAACCACCATGGCACGTGTATACCTATGTCACAAATCTGCATGTTTTGCACATGTATCCCAGAACTTAAAGTATAATAAAAAAGGGGGGTATTTTGGCCGCTTTGATCACTTACACTTGCGATTCCAGCACTTTAGGAGGCTGAGGCTAGAAGATCGCTTGAGAACAGGAGTTCAAGATTAGCTTGGGCAACATAGCAAAACCCTGTGTCTACAAAAATAAAAATAATCAAACAAACAAACAACAAAAAAAAACTTTTCTGGCCTCTACCCATTACCCATTGCCCAGTTTCAAAGCTGCTTCCACATGTTTAGTTATGGTTACAGTAGCACCCTGCTTCTCAGTACCAAAATATGTCTTAATCTGCTCAGGCTGCCGTAAAAAATTATGAGTTGTGTGGTTCAAACAACAGACATTTATTTTCTCACAATCTGGAGGCTGAAAGTCCAAGATCAAGATGCTGGCAGGGTCAAGTTCTAGTGAGGGCTCTCTTCCTGGCTTGCAGATGGCTACCTTCTTATTATGTGTTCACATGACCTCTTTTGCAAGCATGGAAGGAGAAAGAACAAGCTCTCTCACATCTCTTTTTATAAGGGCACTAATCCCATCACGAGCACCCCACCCTCATGGCCCCACCTAACTTTACCACCCAAAGGCCCATATCCAAATATCATCACACTGGGGGGTTAAGTCTTCAATATATGACTTCTGGGGGAGACACAAACATTCAGTCCATAACACCTCTACATGCATAAGCACAACTCTGGGGAAGAAAAAAACACTAGCTCAGACTTCAGTTTCTGTTGGAGCAGATGTTAAGGGATAGATTCCAGGATTTTATGTTTAAACTGGGATTTAATTTTTACATCAGAGGATATATTCCAGGAGATATATATATATATATATTCCAGGATATATTCCAGGATATAAGCCTTAAGGCAGAAGCATGATCATCCTACCAGGCATGTAGCAGGTTTATTATCCCCAACAGAGGTTTGGAAAGAAACCATTTCCTCATTGATCTATTTCAGAGACAATAAAGAATTCAGGAAAGGGGTTGGGGTAATGGGGATCAAAGCCAAGTGGGTCTTGGTCACAGGATAGTTTACATAATGCTTAGCTAAAATTTCTCTTAGACTTTTTTGGCAAACCATCCAGAAGATGGAAACACAGCAGGGATCTTATAGACATCCACCTTCATTCTGGTCTGATTTCAGTTGCCGTAGTAATATGGAGAATATTTTATTAAAAAGACTTTAGAGAATTTTCTATTCTTCTTGATAGAATTCTTTCTATTAAAAAGACTTTAGAGAATTTTCTATCCTTTAAAAATATAATTCTATTAAAAGCCTTTAGAGATTTTTAATTAGAAAGACTTTCTATTTAAAAGATGGCTTTAATTCTCAAATTCCAAATTGTTTTCTAAATAGTTATTCCGAACCTCACTACTCTCCTCAAAACCTCTCCCTTCAGCAAATCCCCTGGACTCCTATGTCATGGAGAAATTGAAGTTATCAAGCATACTCTCCACCAGCATCTTGCTTCCTGTCAGCTTTTTTATTGTACATTCCAGTCCACATGTTCATTCATATCTATACCCTGGACTCATTCCCCAATATCTAGGAAGACAAGGTAAACCTTAAGGTATTTCAGAACCAGTAGCTACACCTAACCCACTCCCTTCTGACTCCTTTGCCACTTCTTCATCCACCGTCTCCTTCTTTTCTCTAATATCAAACTCTTTCTTCCCACTGGCTTCTTCTCTTCAGCCTATAAACACCCTCAAGTTGGGCCCATGACAAAAATATCCCCTCTCAACTCCATAACTCATTCTAGCTACTGTTCATCTTATCACCAAACTTTACCTAGAGTATTTTTTTAGTATAATAATCAATCCAATTGATAACTCTTGCGGGCATTTTTAAATTCACTTTTATTGAACCAGAGAAGCTTTAAGCAATCACCCTAAAAGAAATACTCAAAACCATAAAAAAAAACCTGAAAAAAAATTTAAAAACCAAATAAGTACGTTTTGCAGGATTGCAGGATTGCAGGATAGGAGGTCAATACATAAAAATCAATTTTATTTCTAGACACTAACAATGAGCAATCTAAAAATGAAATTAAAAAAATGTTATTTTTAATAGCACTAAAGGATAAAATATGTAGAAATAAATTTACCAAAAGGAGTATAATATTTGTATATTGAAAACTCTGAAGCATATTTGAAAGAAATTAAAGAAGCCTAAATAAATGGAATGAGTTAAGACTTAATACTGTTAAGATAGCCAAACTTTCCAAACTGATCTGGAGATTCCAGGGAATCTACTTTAAAATTTTATTTGCTTATTTGCAGGAATTTAAAAGCTGATCTTAAAAATCATATAGAAATGCAAAGAAACCGGAATAGTCAATCTTGAAAAAGAACAATGGAGTTGGAGGACTCACACTGCCTGATTTCAAAACTTACTACAAAGCTATCATAATCAAGACAGTGTGGTATTGGCATAAGAGTAGACACATAGATCAGCAGGATAAAATGAGAGTCCAGAGATAAACCCTCACATTTATGGTTAAGTGATTTTTTGACAAGAGTGTCACAAGATTCAATGGGGAAAGAAGAGTCTTTTCAACAAGCGATGCTGGTACAATTGCATATTCGAATGCAAAGAATGAAGTTGGAACTTTAAGTTTCAGCCCTGCATGTTAAGAGCTTGGAAGTCATCACTCCCGATCTTACAATAAGAGGAAAAAAAAGAATAAACTAAAAGTCAATCACTTTGCTCAGATCCATCAGGGAACTGAGGTTTCAGGGCAGTCATTCCAAAATCTGGACAGGTAGTCGAACCCAGAGAGTCACTCAGATCTGCTTACCTGGAGAAGGAATCACTATTGCCATAAATTGATAGGAAAATTAAAATGGTAACTTTGACAAATTGCTGGACGCTAAGTGTGGACTAGCCTGAGAGTGAGAAACCCATGGAGGCCTCAGTCATACAAGGCAGCACTACACGTTCATGGGCTTTACCTCTAGGAACCCCACCAGGTTTTCACAGTGAGAGCTAAGAAAACTCTCATGGCTCTAGCAGGTGGTAGAAAAAGTTCCCATTTTGAAATAACTCTAGAACATGCACCATAACCAAGGCCTACTTTGCAGGGAAAAGATTTTACCAGAGCCTTACCCCACCTGGGGAAAGTATATTTTCCTGCCTCCAGCCCCCTATACACTTCCTGTCTTATCAAAGTGAAGGGAGCTATGAAACACTTGTGAAGTTCTCGTGCCAGGGACCCAGGCACACTAAAACATTGATATTTAACCATAAAATTGTAGACTGTTTTCCCTCCCTGACTTTACCAGCCCATCAATAGGGCTCTAATATAAAGATATTCAAAATGGAAAATTACAGACCAATATCTCTCATGAACATAGAAGCAAAAATCCTTTAAAAATATTAACAAATCAAATTCAATGATGTATAAAAAAGAATTACAAATCATGACCAAGTGGGATTTATTCCAGGTATTCAAATCCAATTCAACATTAAATCAATATAACCCATCACAACACTGAATATAACCTAACACCTCAGCTAGCTAAGGAAGAAAAAACATGATGATACCAATTAATGCAGAAAAAGCACTTAACAAACTCCAAAAGCAATTCTTGATAAAAACTCTCAACAAAATAAAAATAAAGATGAACTTTCTCAACTTGAAAAAGAACAGCTACCAAAAGAAAGAAAAAAAAATGTTAACATCATACTGAAAAACTGAATTTTTTTCCCATAAAATTGTATACACAGCAAGAATGTCTCTCACTATTCCTACTCAATGTTGTACTGGAAGTCCTAGCTAAAAAACCTATCTGCATGCACAGATGATATGATTATCCATGTAGAAGATCCCAAATAATCACCAAAACAATTTCCTGGAACTAAAAAGTGATTATATCAAGTTTGCAGATTACATGACTGATATACAAAAGTTGATGCTTTTTTTATATACTGATAAAATGCTATTTATAATAACACTGAAAAATGAAATAAATCTAACAAAATACGTATAGGGTCACCATGCAAAAAACTTCAACATTCTGATTAAAAAAAATCAAGGATCTAAATGAATGCAGACATAGTCCATAATTATGGATTGGCAGACTTAATATTGTCAGTTTTTCATAAATTGATTTATAGATTCAATATTAACCCAATAAAAATCACAGCAAGCTACATTATGGGTACCAACAAACTGACTCTAAAGTTTATACGAAAAAGCAAAAGACCCTGAATACCAAACACAATATTAAAGAAGAATAAAGTCAAAGGACTGAAATTTCCCAGCTTCAAGACTTACTATGATGCTACAGCAATTAAAACAGTGTGGTACTCGAGAAAGAATAGACACATAAATCACTGGAATGGCATACAGAGCCTAGAAATAAACCCACACAAATAGTCAAGTCTTCTGTGACAAAGAAGCAAAGGCAATTCCATGGAGAAAGAATCATCCTTTCAACAAATGTGCAGGAACAATTGGAAGTCTACATGTAAAAATGTAAAACAAGACATAGGCTGCGAGCAGTGGCTCATGCTGTAACCTCAGCAGTTTGGGAGGCTGAGGTGGGCAGATCACTTGAGATCAGGAGTTCAAGACCAGCCTGGCCAACATGGTGAAACCCTGTCTCTACTAAAAATACAAAAATTAGCTAGGGGTGGTGGTGAGTGCCTATAATCCCAGCTACTTGGGAGGCTGAGGCAGGAGAATCTCTTGAACCCAAGAGATGGAGGTTGCAGTGAGCCAAGATCATGCCACTGCACTCCAGCCTGGGCAGCAGAAAGAGAATTCATCTTAAAAAAATAAAATAAAACAAGACATAAACCTTAAACATTTTTAAAAAATTAACTCAATATGGATTAGACATAAATGTAAAACACAAAACTATGAAACTTCCAAAAGAAAATATAGAAGAAAATGATAGGTTGAACTTCATTAAAATTAAAAGTTTCTTCTTTGCAAAAGACCTTTTAAGAGGATGAAGAACCATTCACAGACTGGGAAACAATATTTGCAAAACACATATCCCTAGCCCAGTCTAAAGGCATATATCCCTACTCTAATCATAATAAAAACATCAGTTAAATCCCAACAGAAGGACACTTTATGATGTCCTACCACTACTCCTCAATACTGTTGAGGTCATTAAAAGCAAGAAAAGCCAGAGAAACTGTCACAGCCAAAGAAGCCTAGGGAGACATGATGACCAAATGTAGTGTGGTATCCATGATGAGATCCCAGAACAAAAAAAAAAAAGCAGATTATATAAAACTTAGAAAAATCTGAATAAATTATGGACTTCAGTTAATAATAATTTATCACTGTTGGTTCATTAGTTGTAACAAATATACCACACTAATAGGGGAAACGTAGCATATATGGGAAATCTTTGTACTATCTTCTCAATTTTTTCTGTAAATCTAAAATTTCTAAAAAGTAAAGTTTATTTTTTTAAAGTAAAGTTGGACCACTTTCTCACACCATGCCAAAAAAAAATACTCAAAATGGATCATAGACCTTCATGTAAAAGTTAAAACTATAAAGCTTTTAGAAAAAAATATAGAAGTAAATCTGTGTAACCTTGGTTTCTTAGTGGTTTCCTAAAAATGACAATAAAAGCATAAGTGACAAAAGGAAAAACGACATAAATAGGACTTCATCAAAATTATAAAACATTTGTGCTTCAAAACATAAGATAAAGAAAGTAAGAGGACAAACCAAAGGATGGAAGAAAATATTTGCAAATCATATATCTGGTAAAGGACTTGTAGCCGTAATAAAAAATTATTACAACTCAAGGATGAAATGACAACCCAGTTTAAAACTGGACAAAGGACACGAACAGATATTTCTCAAAGAAGATTTACAAATTGCCTATAAGCACTCAAAAAGATGCTTGACATCATTAACCATCAGGAAAATACAAATTGAAACCACAATGAGATATTAATTCATATTCACTGGAATGACCGTAATTGAAAAGACAGATAATGTGGATGTGGAGAAGCTGGAACCCTGCTTCATTGCTGATGGGAATGTAAGATAGTGTAGCTGCTTTGGAAAACAGTCTGCATTATAGAACAAATGTCCTTCTCTGTATTTTTACCCCCACTTCCCTATCTAGCCTGGAGTCCTGCAGTGGCTCTGACTGTCCTCCTGCAGTATTATCCAATAATTTACTTAAGACCTCCACTGATACACAGGCATGGTGGCAGTAGAAATCCAGTCTATCAGCTTGTCTCTCCAAATCTGATCATGACCATCCTTCTTCCTTGTGAGGAGTGACTTGTCTTGTATCCTATAGATCAGGGGTCCCCAAGCCCAGGCCACAGACGAGTACCACTCTCTGGTCTGTTAGGTTCCAGGCCACATAGCAGGAGGTAAGTGGCAGGCAAGCCAGCATTATGGCCTGAACTCTGCCCCCTGCCAGACCAGCAGCGGATTACATTCTCATAGGAGCATGAACCCTGTTGTGAACTGTTCATGCTAGGGGTCTAGGTTGTGCACTCCTTATGAGAATCTAATGCCTGATGATCTAAGGTGGAACAGTTTCATCTTGAAACTATCACCCCCACACCCCAGTCCCATCTCACTCCCGATCCCCATCCGTGGAAAAACTGTCTTCCACAAAACCAGTCCCTGGTGTCAAAAAGGTTGGGAACCACTGTTACAGATGAACTAGAAGTTCATATGTGATGATAATTCTTAAAACAAGCCCTCTTATTCTTCAATTGCCTTGCACAGAATAGGGTGGAAGTGCTGGAAGTTCTTGCCTTTTGGATTCATTTATGTTTTACTTGTCTTTGAAATTCCATAGAAAATTTATGTAGAATTGTATTTCATTTCTTTGTACGAGTATATGTATACATTTGCGTATATTTATATTTAGAAAGTAATTATTCATGGAGGAGAGAGGAAAAGGTCACATTCTAATTCTGTTACCTATTCATGTTTCAGGGCCCACATCTAATGCCACTTACTCTTACTGCATGAAGACTTTCCTGATCCTTCTAGCCAGGTGTCTTTTTTTGTCTTATTAAACCTCCAAACTGCTTTGCACATCTTTTTCCTTGCTTGCTTGGTTTCATTTATTTTAGGAATTCATAATGTTATTAACCTTAATGTAAACTCTTTTACTAGCAACTGATTAGATAGAATATATGTAAGCTGTCTAATACTTAGACACTTAACATAAATGATTGTATTATTGTATAATTTATAAATATAAAATATATTTATATTTATAAAATATAATTATATAAATATTGTATAATGTAAGTGATTGTACTATTGTATAATTTTATCTTCATATCTTATTGCTCTAATTTCAATAGAAGCTCTTTAAGAATGAGAACTGTGTTTCGCTTTTCTGTACTGTTTGAGAATAGCTTAAAAAGCAGTGCTGAGTGAATGAATGAATGAATGAACCCGCTTAAGATTGTCTTTGTAGTGACAAGGGAGCCGTTGGAGGGGCTACTACAGTTCCAGTTGTTATCATTGCCCTAACAGCATTATCTTGGTCCTGGACATCGTCCTCCAAGGAAGGAGGGTGGTAGAGTGGAGAGTGGTCCAGAAAATGGGAAGCCTGGTGTTTGGTCTTGAAACTGCCACCAGGTAGCTGCGTGACCTTGGAGGGCTCCACTCTCTCTGAGCCTTACATAGCCATAAAATGAACGTTCCTTTCAGTTCTAACGTTCTAGGATTCTTGAAACTACTGGTCCTTATTACAAGAAAGAAACAAAGTACCAAAATAAACTTGGGATTGAGCAAATGACTGTTTCTGTTCTCACACCCCAGTAATAGCCAGCACCTCACTGAATGCCTACTATACGCAGACACTGTTTTAAGTGCGTCACTTCTATTGACTTATTTATTCCTATAGATAAGACTTTTATTCCATTTTCATATGAAACATATAAAAGCTATGTGACTTACATGCTTGTTGGCAGAGCCAATTTTAGATCCAGACACTCTGGCTCTAGAGGCTGTGCTCTTCATCTCACTGTTTCTCCAGGGCATACGAGTGGCGCCAGCCTTCTCTTCTGTCCCCAGAGCCCCTGGCCTTAATTTCATCACCATACATCTCATGAAAAGATCAAACCCTTGTTTCAGTATGAAGTGATAATTCCAAAAGATGTTGTGAGAGAACACAGTCCCCCGGAAAGCAAAGAGATATTTGCTGATGACTTCACTTGGGGCAAGGGCCTTCGTTTTATTTGACATTACGGGTGCTGAATTGGGAAACCAAAGTGTGGAAAGGCTTCTGACCTGACTTTTGGAAAGAATGTGGCTCTTTTCTCAAACCCTCATCAAACACGAGGTGGAAAGGTGAGCCCTGTCATTGCAACATCACCTGTTTTCCTTCTGCCCAGAAGGTTCTGCTTCATTTGATATTAGGGAAGTCTTCCTCTATTTGTCAGTTCTTCCTCAGGAACTGTAAATCCAGGAGCCATGAGGGCACTGCTTCCCCTTTCTCTACCACAGCTCAGAAGGATATCAGCTAGGAAAAGCCTACTGAGATGGTTAGGCAGGCCTTTTAAACCTGGGTCAGGAAGAATAAGTAAACAAGGGAGTTTCCACCATAGGAAATGTGTACTTTGAGTAGCAAAGTAACCAGTAAGATAAAGATGACTAACAAAGATTGTGATCTGCATTCAGAGCTGCTGGCCTTCCTGCTTTTCCGGCCAGATGTTTCCCTCTCATTCTTTTATTCTTCTCTCCTTACCTTCTGTTTGCTCCCCTCAGTTTCTCTCTCTCCACCTGACTTTTCTTCCCCAAGTACCCACAAGACTATGTTATTGCCGTCTTTTCCCTTCCTAGGTCATCAGGGAAAAGAGCCTCATATAAATGCATATAAAATATTCTGAATACCTACATATGTATAGCAGGCATTTGCACTTTGATTATCCATACACTCATTCATTCATTAGACGATTACTCAGTCCTGTTCAATACCAAGTCTTAGCTGTCCACCCCCTACCTCCCCAGACATAAGGTATCTACCTTAGGACAGATGTATTTTGGTATTTCCCCAGGGATGTTGGTTTTGGCTAGAAAAGGCCCAAAGTAATATAAATTAGGGCATATGCTTGATAGCTTATCATTGATTATGGATTTAGAGTCTGGTAGAAACCAGGCTTACAAATTACAGCCTTAGGGAAGCCAGCTGTTTGGGAAAACTAGCAAAAACAAAAACTCTCCTGTTGGGGGCTTTTATTGGCCTTTCTGAAATTCTCTCTTTGAGTTCTGGGAAAAACTCAATCACAGGCAGGAACCAAAGAGTGTTTAGCTCTCAGTAGCTCCTCTATGTTCATTGAAGAATTCCCTATAAGCTTGGGAAATGTTTCCAGTGCCAACCCATTAATGAATGGCGCATAGAGTATGAAGAAAGTATGATTATTAAGAATTACATAAGGTTTTCATCATTCTAAGCAAAGTATCACAAGGACAGAAAACCAAACGCCACATGTTCTCACTCATAGGTGGGAGTTGAACAATGAGAACACATGGACACAGGGCGGGGAACATCACAAACCGGGGCCTGCCATGGGGTAGGGGGGTGGGGGGAGGGATAGCATTGGGAGAAATACCTAATGTAAATGACGAGTTGGTGGGTGCAGCAAGCCAACATGGTACATGTATACATATGTAACAAACCTGCATGTTGTGCACATGTACCCTAGAACTTAAAGTATAATAAAAAAGAGAGAGAGAGAATTATATAAGGTTTTGGAACAAAGATGTCCCAAAACATGCCAAGCCAAGACATGGCTTTTGACCAAGAGTGTTATTCCATTCTGTTTATCATATATTCATTAAGTGCCTCCTGGGTACCTAGCATGGCTAAGGTACATTCCTAGCTTTTTGGGTACTTCCAGCCAAGGTGGGGAGTCTAGGCAGGGAAAAATCAGATGATAGATTGCAGCATGATAAGATGGAAATAGCCGTCGATTTGAAATGCCAAGACTGGTTATGGCGATGAGTTTTGCCACTTGTTATCTGTGAAACCTAATATAAAACCCAGTTCAGAACTGTTATAAGGATTCTCTTTGAATATTATGTAAATTAATAAATAGAAAAAAAAACCTTTTTATGGATTTTAGAGAAGAATGCAAGGCAGAGCAGAATTCCTTGTCAAGTTTAATCCAATCCCATGGGATAAGCCAGTGTTTTGCAAACAAGTCGCCACCTATTAGTGGGTCATGAAATCCATGTAATGGGCAGTGAACAGTGTTTCTTATTGTTTTTTTAATATAAAATTGAACAGAATAGAAAATAGAGTGCAGCACATGTAATATGGGTAAATTTTGTTTCAGATAATTTTTGTCTCTATTACACATATTTTGTATACTCTATCGTAATGGGGAAAAGATTTATTACAATGCATCACTTTCAAAAAGTTTGAAAAACGCAGAGGAGACAGCATGCCCTTCCTATTCCAATGTTCCTAAGACTATTTTGATTCAGCCTTGCTACCTGCCTAATGCTTTAATAGTTCAATCCAGTATTGAAACGTATCTCAATTGATCCATTTCTTAGCTCCAAGGGGTAATATCCATAGACATCTTGCTCTCAAGGACCTAGCTACAGAAGGAGGATGGTCAGAAACAATGACAGAATACTAAGAATATTTAAATGTCACACCAGGTAACAATTAATTACTCCTCAGTAACAAAGACATCACAAAGGGGAGATACAGCTGGGATCCTAGAGATTTCCAGGAGGTTCATTCAGAGCAATTCCTAAAGAATTTGGCTCATGGAGAAACAAAAGAGAAAGAGCCAGAGTACAGGACAGAGTCTGAGCCAAGTGGGGAGTGTGGTCTGTCTGTCTGGCCTGTCACTATGCACGGTAACTATAGACCAGGGAAGAGGGAGAGGCAGAAAGTAGAACAATGTAGAAAATCTGTCACCCCAGACTTGCTGTATTTGTATTCTTGATGTACTGTGCTTAGTGTGAACTTTTGCCACTAGGACATTCTTACAGAAACTTGATATCTGCACTGAGGAGTTATCAGTGACACATCTTGCCTGAGTAGCTTGGTGTGGCTCCACTATCAAGACACTGTAAGGCAAGGTGGGTCTCTGGGGCAATATTGAAGGCTCTGTCTGGGTCAGGGGTAAAAGTCATGTCACAGACAGAGAAGAGTAAGGTATGAACCTGATCCTCCAGTTGTCACAGTAAACATCTTAATTAAGGAGTTTCGGGGGGTCCAGGGATGGATTTCAGTAGCTGAGTAACCTCTTGAAGTTCTGTGCAAAATTTTCTGGGCATTTGTAGATTTCTATAAGAGGTCGTTAGCTCTTACCAGATGATCAAAGAGCTCTGTGGTAAAAAAAAAAAAAAAAAAAAAAAAAAAAAAAAAGAAAAAAAAAAAAAAATTTAATGATTAGTTTCCTCCACTGTAATTTTGCCATTCTTGTAGTAAGAAGAATAGTCATATAACCCTGGATGAAAAGGAGGAGAAAATCTTTAGAGTGACAGAATCTACCTTCCATATGGTTTACTGCCCCAATATCAACTAAACAAGTGCTCAGAGCAGATTCTCAGCATCACAGTATCACCACTTCAATGGGATCTAGAAGTACTTTGACCAAATCTGAGGTCCAACTGATTTCCTGAAAAATGCAGTGTCATATGTTACTCCTTATAAGGTGTGTACAAGATTTCCAATTTCCCTCCGACTGCAGCAGCATGTCCAAAAACAAGTAAGTTGAAAACAATTTGTTGTGCAATGCAGTGAATGTCACTTCTGTCATCGGTGTGGAGAGCATAGATCACCCTGTGGTAGATTCTGTCACCATAACTGCTGCTCTTAAAAACATGGAGAGAAAATACTGGGCTGACTCTCTTATCTCCGGCTGGGCCGTCGTGTATTTTTTTTTTTTTTTTTTGAGTTGGCTTATTGCAGTTCAGAGGCTTATCTTTGCTAATTGTATATTTGATCATATTGTGTCTATACAATCTGATTTTTAAAAATTTGCATCTAAGCAGATCTAGCTTTATTCTTTAAAATTATTGGGCTGTTGTGCTTCTCTTTTGTTGTGGGTAAGACAGTTTTGGGGGGCTTGGGGGGTTTTATTTGTTTTAGCCTCAGAATCACCCCATTGCTGGGAACTTAGGGGAAACAATTTACCTAGAGGAATTGTCCTCTAAGTTCCCAAATAACTTCTAAACAATTGTGTAGTCTAAATCCAGATGTATTTATCAGAAGATTAACTGTCGCCTAATTTCCCATTGTGGCTTACCCAAGTCCAACCAAGATTAATTCCATACATAATTTAGAATTGCTTCTTTTTCTTTGTGTAATAATACCTCAACTTAAAAAAAAAAGAAAGCCACACCATGGGCTTGTTTTAATCCTGATTATTTAGGGTAATACATTTCTTACAGATAATTAACATTAGCAAAATTAATTCATTCACTAAATTCAGTGATCTGACAACAAGTGAAAAAGTTGGGCTTTAGAAAAAGTATGTTGTCCTCTATTTATTCTTTTTAATATTCGAAATTGATAACTGTCTCTATCATAATTGATTCATTACTCATTGAGTAATAAAGGATAGGAAAAATTAACAGTTAAGCACACCAGGTGCATTTAGTTATGTAACATTGATTTTGGAGAGTTGTATAAGATTTGTATTTAAAAAGCCTTGATTGGCTGCTCAGATAATAGAAAATAATATCAGCCAGCTTTATGACCAGCGAAAGTCTAACATGACAACTTAAAAACATCCATTTAGTTTATGATGCTGTATTTCAAATATACATTTAGATGATAAGGGGAAAGATGATGAAAGCTGGCATGGTGGCATTTTTCACATAGCTGAGAAATGATAAATATATTCTACCCTTCATAGCTTTATGTTTCATTGTTATTAACTGATTGGTTCTTTTGCTTAAGAAGTGAGCTGGTGGTCCATGTACCAGAGAGTTTAGATTTCCAATTTGAAACTACTTCATTTTTCTAAATCGCAAAGAATTTCGTTAAAATAAAAATTGTATCTCATTACTGAGTCATAAAAAAGAATTAAAAAGTGGACTCTCTGCCTTTTCTCAGAGTATAACAAAGTTTTATAAAGTGTAGAGCTAGAACAAATTTCACAAGACACAATGCAAAAGCATTCTCTATGTTAAGTGTGACCCAACAGATAGTAGAAATTGCTAAAAACCATCTACTGCACTAAGATGTGAAATTTTTTCCTTTGTTATTTAGTAAGTATTTTGTTTTACTTTATTGTAGCAAGAACACTTAACATGAAATCTATTTTCTTACAAATTGTAAGTGTGTAATGCATTATTGCTGATGATAGGCATGATGTTGTACAGCATATATCTAGAGATGATTCATCTTGCCTTACTGAGACTTTGTGCCTGTTGATTAATAACTCCCCATTTTTCCTTTCCCCAAGCCCCTGGCAACCACCATCCCTACCCTGAATCTATGAATTTGACTATTTTATATCCCTCATTAAAAGTAGAATCATGTTGGATTTATCTTTCCATGTCTTGTTTTAATGTCCTCAAAGTTCATCCATGTTGTCACCTATTGTAAAATGTTCTTTTTTTAAAGCTGAATAGTATTCCATGGTTTGCATACATCACATTTTCTTTACCTGCATTCATCTGTCAAGACAATGAACATTTAGGCTGTTTCTACATCTTGGGTATTGGGGAAAATGCTGCAATGAACACAGAAATGCAGATATCTCCTTGAGATCCTGATTTTAGTTCTTCTGGATGAATACCCAGAAGTAGGATTGATGGGTTGTACTGTAGCTCAGTAAATGTTTTTAGATTTGCAAATGAAATATGTGTGTGTGTATTTGTGTTTGTATACAGAACTTTAAAAAAGTGACCTGCAAATAATTCTCCAACTTGTTTTTATTAATCCTTTAAAATACATGCCAGGTAAAAACTATACTCTGAAATATCAACATCCTGTTCAAATCCAACTGTGCACCCAGGAAGCACTCCTATCAATGCTGTGCTTTAATTCAAAGGATGCTCTTTCTATGGAACAACAGACTTACCTTGGATAAGTTTCATTTATCACTTCTTATAGGTAGCTGGGGCTTGAGAAAAAGACAAGTTATAAATGGCCAATGAGAACTGACATGTTTTAGTGTTAGTTAACATCTCTGTCAACCAAGAGGTGATGAAATATTTGTCACCGAAAGTGAGGAAGATAGTTGTGTCCCACACTCAAGACACAGAAGATAGAAAAGATTTGTTCAACAAATTCATTCATTCAGTCATTCAGCAAGCATGTCATATTTGAGATGTTTGTGGGGCATCCAGGTGGAAAGGTTTTGGTGTGCCTGGCACTAAGATGACAAAAATGAAAAGGCGTTGCCTTCAGTTTTAAGATGTTCATAGTAACGGATAGATGGACGGCCAAGTGAACAGTTATAGTAAAATTAGATATTACCACACTGGAAATACATTCAAAGCCCATGGGTAGCATTCGGAGCAGCAACTAAATGTGCCAGGGACATCAGGGAAGGCTAGAGAAGATTTTAATTCTGTTTTTCAAACTAATGGGAAGGAACCATTCCAGGCAGACATAGGCATCATCCTGGACTCAGAGCCGTGAGCGAGCGTGAAATATTCAGGGGACCACACAATGATTTGTGTAGCTGCAACTGGAGCGCAAGGAGACTATTATAATAACACAGGAGAGCCATGTTCACATCTGAGGCAGTAGAGAAGGGTTGGAGGAGATATTTAAAAAGCATACTTCTTAGCCTTAATGATTGATGGGATGCAGTAGTAAAAAAAAAAAAAAGGGGAAAAGACTATGATGACTCTTAGGTTTCCGGCTTGGACATATGAAGGACAGCAGTACCATTTACTAATACAAGGAAGGAACACAGGGAAGAGACTTATTAAGAGTCAAGGGTAGGTGAGATGATGTATTCAGTTTTAAACACTTTGTGTTTAAGATGCCTCCAAGACATCAAATTGGTTGGGTTTGTCCATTATATTTGTTAGGTGAGGAGCTCAGAGAAGGAAACTGAGCTGAAGCTATAAATGTGGAGCTCTCAGCATAGAGGTAGAAGTTGAAGCCACAGAATAGGTGAAATAAAGAGTAACAAGGACAGAGCCCGGGAGAAGACTGATGTTTAAAGAAGAGGGAGAGCAACAGTTGTAAAGCAAGCTGCAAAGGTCCTGCATGCAAGACGGCAGGAGGACTAGCAGAAAGTGATGACATGAAACCCAGTGGAGAGAAGGGCTTCGAGAAGTATGCAATGCACATCAGTGTCAAAAGCTGTAGGCAGGTCAAGCAGGATAAAGATTCAGATGCTGCCCCTGGGTTTGTTCAATGAGCTCTGGCAACATTAATAGGACAGTTTCCACGTTTTTGAGTGATGGAGAGGGCCTATACTGGATTGCATTGAGCTGAGAAGTGAATGGAAGTGAGAAAAATGGAGACAACGTGTGTGATCTACATTTTGGAGAAGTACATTGTGGGAAAATTCAGGAGGAATAAAGAGAGGAGTAGCTAGTGATTCAGGATGAAAAAAATATTTTTAAGGTAGTAGGGATTTGACAAGATTCATACGGAAACAACATAGCATGCTTTATATGCACTGTTCTAATCACTTTATGCATGTTTTCCTAGTTAATCCTCAGAATGACACTGACAGATAATAATGATATTTAATATCTATTGGGTACTTAATGTATGACAGACATTGTTATAAGCACTTTACATTTATTTCTTCACTTAATCCTCACAAGCCTTATGAAGTTAGTGGTATCATCACCCCCACTTTGCAGGTGAGAAAACTGAGGAGCAGAGAAGTAAAGCTGATCTCAAGGGCTTACAGCCAAGTAACAGCAAAATGGAACCAAAAACAGCCAAAATGGAACCAAAGATCTGGTTTCAAAATCTGTGCAGTAACAAGATGGTTCTTATTGACCTTTTAAAGATGAGAAAACGGATTCTAAGAAATTAAACAATTTGCGCCTATTGCCACCCCAATCACTGAGACCTGAAACAGAATGTACACCCAAGCCTAATTCCAATGCTTGGAATGACCATGTTGCCAACAAGCAGAATCTGGAAATAGGAGAGAGAGGGCACAACACGTGAAATAAGATCCTTCAAAAGCAGGAGGGAGAACAACACAGGCAGAGCAATTAGTCTGTTGTCTGAAACACGTCAGCAAATCCAGGAATATACAAATCACAGGATGGAAAGAAACCCTTGGAGGCCAACTTGCTGCCCTCTTAAAACACCACAAGCAGAGCCAGACAGGTAAAAGGTATCTGTCTCTGCCCAGGAAAGAAGTTCCCAGCCCAGGGAGAGGTGGGAAGAGTAATGGAAATAATAAACTATAATTCATAACTTTTTTTTGCTGTCACTCATCACTTGTGACTGCAAAAAGTTCTCAATCCAAATAGAATAGGTTCCTGCCTCCTCATGCAAACACCTCTCTCTGCAGGCTCTCAGAGTACCAAGGAGATATTTACTCCATCATCCTCACCACAAAAAAAAAAAAAAAAAAGGAGAGGAGAGATGCAGGGTTTGATATATCCAGTGGAACTGCCGCTGACAGACAGCATTCCAACTTGACTTTACTCCCAGGAAAGCCGATGTATTATGGCAAGGTGATGTCTCTCCACTCCACCCTAGAATGTGAGATTCAATTGTTTGGCTGTTTACCCAAATACTGGGGGAAAATAAGCTCCTGAATCCTGAATCAGGAGCAAAGAAGATGCATCAGGATTCTAACATTTTCTTCTACTTACTGTTTGCCTTTCTGACTTTTTTGGAGGGCAAGGATAGTGTCATGTATGTCTTTCCTGTGTGGCTAGCACAGCACCGAGGACTCAACAGGACTCAGGACAGGACCAATGAGATGAGATGAGATGAGATGGGATGGGATGGGATGGGATGGCATGGGATGGGATGGGATGGGATGGGATGGGATGAGAAGAGAAGAGAAGAGAAGAGAAGAGAAGAGAAGAGAAGAGAAGAGAAGAGAAGAGAAGAGATGAGATGAGATGAGATGAGATGAGATGAGATGAGATGAGATGAGACGAATGAGAGTCATGAAAAGAGCATATGGCACATAAACACAAGATGATCTTGCATTTTCTAACTGACCTCTTAAAGAAGCTTTATCTTCAAACCTGAAACTAAGTCTGGAGAAACAATAGGAAGTGGGTCCAGAGAAGTGAGTCAATAGGAGTATCAGTCCCCTCTTCCCTCACATCTCACTGGAGGGATGTATCACTCTCCAACTCGTAGGAAGTTTATCATGTGTAACTCAGTGTAATTATGGCTGGATTTTTTGTTCGTTTGTTTGTTTGTTTGTTTTTGAGGCAGGGTCTTGTTCTATCACCCAGGCTGGAGTACAGTGGCATGATTATGACTCATTGCAGCCTCAACATCCCCGGCTCAAGCCCCTCAGTCTCCCCAGGAGCTGGGACTCACAGGTGCATGCCACGATGCCCAGTTTTTTTAAAAAAACGAAACAAAACAAACCCTTTTTTTTTTGTAACTTTTTATCACCCAGGTTGGTCTTGAAATCCTGGGCTCAAGCACTCTTCCTGCCTTGGCCTCCCAAGGTGTTGGGTTTATAAGCATGAGCCACTGCACCTAATTTAAGAATTCTGTCCCTTACCGGGAACTGTCTGTTTATATGCTTCGCCCACGTTTCTGTTGGTATGGAAATAACAGCTTTTTGTGACAGTACTGTGTGCCTAGGAAGTTGTCCCATGATATATAAATATTCTAAGGTTAAACTAGAAGTTGACAACTATCACTTACTAATTAACATTAGACTTTTGAAGTTAGGGATCCTTATGAGGCAGATGGGGTGAAAGGATACCATCTGGCCATCTATGCCTTATGTTATAACTACTCTAATCTGAGGGTAAATATACCAGCCACACTATTCTAAGTTAGAGTGATTTCTGTTCCCCTTGCAACTATCATATATACCCTTTAGCTATAGAGGATCCCCTATTATTATCATCATTATTATCATTCCTCAGCCCTAGGGTTAACAGAGGAGGTAGCAAGCCCAAAATGGGCAAGTCTAGGACTCAAAGAATTGACACTAAAGCTGGTTCTCAAAACGGAGGTCAAGGTCATAATTCAGAGTGTGAAGTGCAGTTGTTTGTTTGCAGGTTTATGCCAAGAGCATTACTTATTTTAGATTAAACCATAGAAAATTGTCAATGTTCAATAATTTGTGACCTACAAAAAATGGCAATGTCATATATGGTTCAAACTAATAGACAGGTGCTGGCATTTTACTTCCAGAGAAAGTCCACCCTGCTTGAAGCAGAGGGCAACAGAAGAGGAGCTAGCAAGGGTTTGGCAGCGCATCAGCCATGGGAGCTCCAGTAAGTGGAGATGTCCTGCAAACCATGATTTGTGCACACGTTACAATGTAACAATAACAACAATGTACACAGCTAATGTTTGTATAAGTCCTTACCTACTTTTGCCAGATGCTGTTAAGCCATGTTAATTCATTTAATTATTATCACAAGAGTAACTTTATAAGGCAGGGCTGCGCTTATTCCCATCTTTAGAGTGAGGAAACTAATGCATAAGAAAGTCAAGTGACTTGCTCAAAATCACATGACTAATAAGTGCCTAAGTAGGGCTCAAGCCCAGGCCAGCTAGTTTCAGATGCCACAGTTCTGAACCATTGTGCTGCACCACTGCTTTCACAGAGACTGCAGCTGCTGAAGTCAAATAATATACAGAGACAAATCTCCAAATTTAAAACCTTTTATTTGGGAAGCAAGAATTCCAATTCAAGGCAAACACGCAGACTCCCTGGTCTTCCCTAGGTCTGAAGAACAAAAAGAGGATTGGGAGTTTTATCAGAAAGAGAAATATCACATACTGTTTTGAAAGAAAACTCTTTGGCACTAAAGAAGCTTTTGGGAGCTGGCAAGCTCTGACTGGTGAGTGACAGTGGTAGGTAAAATTAGTCTTAGAGGCAGGTTGTTTTAGCAGCTACTAGGCAAAACTGGTCTTAGGGTTACACCAGGCTGTTTTAGCAGCCGGGCTTGGAGAAAATTTAATTCTTGGAGCAGGTGCTTTGTGCCCCAAGTGCTTTTTCCCCTTGGCCCCTGGAGTCTTATTTGGTTCAGTATGACAAGAATGACCCAATTTGTCTAATCAACCTTCACATGTTTTAGGACATGGGACTCAGGGGCTCTCTGTGCACAGTGGAACCAGGTTTAGGACAGGAAGACCCGCTACTGGCTTGACTGATTAGTGAGGAAGAGGTGTCTCATGGGCAGATCCTGTGGGCCTTGGTCTCATGGGCTCAGAGCCCAGGTGGGCAGAGCCTAGACTTGAGCCTTCAATGGCCATCTCCACCTAGAGAGGGTTGGGGCAGGCAAGATGGGCACCACCACTCTCTTCTGTATCTTTTCTTACTTCTTGGGACTCTCTTTTCTGTGTTCCTGTTTTCCCTGTCCTACATCTAAGTGTTTTTGTTTCTGCAGGATTCATCTCTCCATATATAAAATTCCTCACTGAATCTTCCTTTTTATGGGGAATCTAGAATCCTTAACCTGGCATACAAAAACCTTGACAGTCCATAAATATATATTGAGAACGTGTGTATAAGTTGAAATCAGACCCTGTAATGGACATCTTTTGAATGGTATGATAGTATGGTTTTAAAAGAGTTGTGATGGTCAGAAAATAATTAATGTAGAATTCAGAGGGTGAGAGGAGGGAGAATAAAAATTAAAGAATCTTGGCCTACTTAATTAAACCCCTATACTTGGGGGATGAGGTAAAGAAGATTATAGGACACTAAGAGACTTCCCCAAGGGCTGAAAGTCCTTTCTCCCTTGTGAGGGTGCCACAGCTAGATCTGGGAGAGTCACAGCCTTGAGAAGGTTTGGAACAACTGATTGGATTAGTGAATGGGAGGGGCATTTTGTCATGTAGTATTCATCTTCAATGAAACTAAAACGTTGAAAGTATTTCCCTACCATAAAAAAATCACAAAATGATGAATTCCAGCTCTGAATTCCTTAACATAAGAAACTCTCTAACAGACTTTATTGTGAGGGTTTACTTTCCATCCCTGACTGGGGGCTGGGGTCCTGGATACTGGTGGCCGGGGCAGCCCTGCTCATCCCCTACACCATTCAGGAAGTTCAAAGGCAACTCAACTTTCAGCCAAAGCATGGATTTTTTTGATTGGATTGCAAATGCTATCCCATAGTTATGCTTTGGATGATTTTTTATAAATTAACTGAGAAGATTATTACTTGTTTTACATAGATGTTAAAGAGATGAAAGGATAGCCTACCTGAAAAAATAATTTGAAAGCTTCAAAGTTTCTGCAGAAACTGCATTGAAGATATAAAGATACAAAATAAGAAGTAAAAGCAAATTTTGTATAAAATAAGAAGTTGGCATTTCCACTAAAAATGTGAAATTCCACCTAGTAAAAAAAGATATAACATGGACATCTTTAGTAAAACACAAATAGCACAAAAATGTCCATTGACCATTCTGCAAGCATCCAAAGGAATGATTTGCAAAATCTCTCAGAGGTTTGGGGTCTTTTGTAAAAACAGTTCATCTTACTTGGCCACCACCCATGACTCCAGCAGCCACTTTATCTCTCTTAAGGTGATATTTGGTCTTATAGTTTGACTATTTATATAGGTCTTGCTAGAAGTAAACTAAAAGAAAAACATTTTGTACTCATCTTGGTATCCTTGGGGAAGAGTCTGAAGTGGATGTTATGTTTGCACACTGGAATGACCCATACCCATAGAAGAAAGGGAACTGAACGTGAAAGGATATATTGGTAGACAAATGATAATAACTAATACTTATGGACTATTAACCAAGTACCAGCACTGTGCCAAGTGCCTTATCTGTATTAACTTATTTAATAAATACAAAACCCTGTCAGGTAGGTATCATTTATTGTGATCTCCTTTTTACAGATAGGGAAACAGAAGCCCAAGGAATTAAATACCATGCCCCAAATGACACAGCTAGTGAGTGGCAGAACTGAAAAGGCCCCTGGCTTCAGAGCTTGAGTTCCTAGCCACGCTGGTAGTCCACATCCTTAAAAAGAAGAGATGCATGAACAAAGGAAGCATCAGTACCTAGCCCTGCATAAATGGTGGGTATCTTCTGGGTCTGTGTAGGATCCACTTGTTCTATAACAAGAGTAAGCTGCTCCATAGATCACCCAGCATGTGGAAGGCCTGCCTTTCTTCTTATTGCTCTATATGGTTACCTAGAACCAAGTCTGGCTAACAGGATGAATTGACTGAACACATAAAAATCTTTAAAGGCCAAGCGTGGTGGCTCACGCCTGTAATCCCAACACTTTGGGAGGCGAAGACAGGTGGATTGCCTGAGCTCAGGAGATTGAGACCAGTCTGATCAACATGGAGAAACCCAATCTCTACTAAAAATACAAAAATTAGCCAGGTGTGGTGGAACCCCAGCTACTCGGAAGGCTGAGGCAGGAGAATCGCTTGAACCCGGGAGGCAGAGGTTGCAGTGAGCCAAGATTGCACCATTGCATTCCAGCCTGGGCAACAAGAGTGAAACTCCATCTCAAAAAAAAAAAAATCTTTAGAAAGGGAAGTTACAAATGTTTCAGCACATCAGCATGAACCTATACATATCTATTTCATACATGATGTAAATACCAAGTTTTCTTAACTAAGCCCATATCTCCTCTTTCCTTCACCATCCAGGATACGGCCAAGGATGCTGAAATTAACCAATACATGCTTTGTCACTGATTTATTGATTGATTGAGAGCTGGAGGCCACAGTGTGTTTGGTTTTGGCTTTTGAGCCCCAGCTTCATTTATAGGTGCTGACGTCAATACCCTATTCTCAGCAATTAATGGAACCAGCAGACAAAATCAGCAAGGATGTAAAGGAACTCAACAACACCCTCAACCAACAAGATCTAATTGCCATTTGTAGAAAACTACACCAAACTCAGCAGAATACGTGCTTTTTCTCAAGTGCCCATGGAATGTTCACCAATACAGACCATCTTCTGTGCCATAAACAAGCCTCAACAAATTTAAAAGATTGAAATCAGACAGTAAATGCTCTGACCATAATGGAGCCAAACTGCTGTTGAGTTCATCACACTCCTCAGACCACCAATATAATTTTTTTGTCTTAGTTTAATATCATTTTTTCCCAAATATGCTATTATTGTGTCTTTCTTTTTAGGCTGGTTGATGTCAATGATGTCACTTTAAAAATCTCATAAATGAATAGCCAAAAATATTTCTTCCAGTACTTTCCTGAAGAAGCCTAATATCTCATGTAAATAAATCTTTTTCTAATTTATAGTTTTTTTTATAGTGTGTTTCTTTCTTGCAAGGGACACCCTTATATCTCTTGTTTCCCAACAAAATCACTCACAGCATCAAAGCCCTGACCTGCCCTTCCTGAGAAGGCCAAGGTTAGCGGCTATGTTATCTCTTGAGCTAAAAGGATTGCTGGCTTGAAGGTGCGTGGGAGTCGATAGCTCTCTGGAGCCTGCCTTTAATCCCCTAGAGATGCGTTTACTCTGCTAGGAGAAAGATAGCCTCCAAAGAGCAAAAGTCAACAAGCTTTATCGTTCTTCTTCCTGGGTTATTCTGCTGCTGCTGAAAGGCTTTATGAGTGTCCTAGGGCAGTAGTTTTCTGGATTTGTCCTACTCCTGGAATGAATGCCACAGGATTTCATGGTTGTGTGGTCACCAGAGTACAGTACCAAATCTGCCAGTGTTGTGCCCTAGAGGCAACCTCCAACCTTTCTCCACTGCCGCACACACCATGACCAAAGCCCATCTCAGGAAGCACTCAGACACTGGGCAGGCCACATTCGAGGCACTCTCAAGACCATTAGGACTACTGTGCCTGGTCAGCTAGTCAGTTGACAGAATCTTATCAAAGATTTTAAAAGCCTTTCTCAGGAAATACCAGAAGTGTAGACCTATTTTTGTTTGCGGTTCCCGTTCAGCTATTAGGGGCTCAGTTCTGCCCCCCAAAATCCATATATTGAAGCCCTAATCCCCCGTGTGATGGTATGAAGAGATGGGGCCTGTGGGAGGTGATTAGGTTTAGATGAGTTTATGAAGGTAGGACCCTCATGATTGAATTAATGCCCTTATAAAAGATGCCAGAGAGCTCTCTCCCCACTCATCCTCCTTCCATGTGAAGATGCAGTGAAAAGGCAGCTGTCTGAAAGCAAAGGAGACAGCCCTCCTTCTGATCTCAGCCTTCTAGCCTTCAGAACTGTGAGAAAATACATTTCTGTTGTTGAAGCTATTTTGTTAAGGCAGCCCGAGCAAAGTAAGGCATGTGTTGAAACCCTAACCCCAAATGCCTCAGAATGTGACTATATTTGCAGATAGGATCTTCAGAGAGGTAACGAGATTAGAGGAGGTTGTTAGGATGAGCCCTAATCTAATATGACTGTTGTCCTTATAAGGAGAGCTTAGGACACAGACATGCACAGAGGGAAGACCACGTATAGATGCAGGGAGAAGATGGCCATCTATAAGCTAAGGAGAGAGGCCTCAAATGAAACCAGCTTTAATCTCATAGAAGTTAAAAGTAGAACAGAGGATACTAGAGGCTGGGAATGATGGGGAACGGGAAGGATAGGGAGAGATTTGTTAAAGGATACAAAATTACAGCAGGATAGATTTTAGTTCAAGTGTTCTATAGCACCTTAGGATGACTACAGGTAACAATAATACGTTACATAGCTTCAAATAGCTAGAAGGAGAATATTGACTGTTCCCAACACAAGGAAATGATCAATGTTTGAGATGATGAATATGCTAATTACCCTAATCTGATTACATTATATGTATCCCATGTAAATGTACTCCATGAATATGCATAATTATTCTGTCAATTTAAAAAGTAAAATTTTAAATTTTAAAACAGTATTTATCTATAAGCTGCTTATCAGAGTTATAAACACATAGAGTAAAATTAAAAGGATAGAAAAAATATAGTCCCGTTTAACTTATGAATATGTGTATACCAAAAAACCTTAAATATTAAAAACCCGAATCCAGGCCAGGCATGGTGGCTCACGCCTGTAATCCCAGCACTTTGGGAGACTGAGGTGGGTGGATCACCTCAGCTCAGGAGTTCGAGACCAGCGTGGCCAACATGGTGAAACCCCATCTCTACTAAAAATACAAAAATTAGTTGGGTGTGATGGCGGTTGCCTGTAATCCCAGCTACTCAGGAGGCTGACGCAGGAGAATTGCTTGAAGCTGGGAGGCAAAGGTTGCAGTGAGCTGAGATTGCACCACTGCACTCCAGCCTGGGTGAGTGAGACACCGTCTCAAAACAAAACAAAAACAACAACAACAACAACAACAAACAACCGAATCCAGCAATGAGGGGGAAAAAAGAAACCAACTCTGCCAGTACCTTAATCTTGAACTTCCAGAATCCGGAGCTGTGAGGAAATCAATGTCTATTGTTTATGCCGCCCAGTCTGTGGTACTTTGTTAAGGCAGCAAAGTAGTGAATTCCACATCTGCCATCATCCCCGTTCATAAAATAACTCAAAAAACCAACGAATTCAGAGGTATTGGGACAACAGATGGCAAGGGTGAGAAAGAGGAGGAAGAATAGGACAGACCACCTTCCTAGTGAGGGTGGAGATTGCAGCTGAGATTTGGTGGTGGGGCGAGAGAAAGAGAGAGAGAGAGAGAGAGAGAGAGCTGTGGAGAGAGAAAGAGAGGAGAAAGGGAGTGAGAGATGGGGGTGAGAAGGAAGCGTTGTCAGGAGGGGAATCAGGCTCAAGACCAGAGCTGACCTGCCCTGAGGATGGGGCCGGTCCTCAGTGAGGCAGGCTCAGAAGCTGCCTGTGCCACCTGACTCTCCCACCTTTCCGCCTCCCTCCTTTCAGGAAGGCTCTTACTTTTCTGACCAGTAAGGGAGCAAATAGCTCATCTGACTTCTCACAAGGAGACACGGCGATGTTATTAATGAAGTGAGAAAGAAGTAATTATCTGGATAATTCAGGCATCCATCACCACTTTCAACTAAATTGTCCAGGCTGAAAAGGTGCAAGAGTCAAGAGGAAAAGAATGATTTTAATTAATTGCCTCAATTTACCATTTTCTATTGGATTTGTTCAAATTAAATGACTGAGCTGGCCTCCAGCTTTGCCCAGGGGTCAGCAGTGGTGGAGAAGGCCATTGGCCAGTGTTCCCCAAGGGACTCCAGTGCCAGGGCCTGTTCCAAATGAGCGACAGACACATCATTTCATACCAACTCATTTTCAGAGGTATTTTCTGAGTGTGATGCAGGATCTCACATTCCAGATTGTTAATCTGGTAGGATCAGCCATGTAAAGCCACAATTTGGACATGTGCAGGATAAGTATTAAAAAACAACTGAGATGGCTGAGCCCAGCTTCTTGTTTACCTACTTGGGGAAAATGCACGAAGACATTTAGAAGGGAAAAATTGTAATAAACAGCATTTACATTAAGAACACATCCAAACAGCAGCAAGCACAGGTATTTCCGTATGTTTATGCTTTTCCCTAAGCGCATTTCTTCAGAAATCTGGATACTATCAAAGGCAGCCCCTAGGAAATGCCTCTAATTCCCATCTCCTTCTCTGGCAGTGAATCGCTGTGATATTTTCGTGTTGCCTCTCCTCCCTGGGAGCCCACCGAGGCTCAGAACCCCCTCCTGCCTTATTTCTCTAACAAATGCCATAAAGAATCTCAGGTTTCCTAATCCTCTCATTGAGATTCAGGACGGTGTAGTATGAGCTGCATGGGATATAAAGTCAAAACACCTGAGTTTGAGTTCTAGCTCAGCTATTTATATGCCAGGTGATCCTGGAAAGTCTTTTAACCCCAGGGAGGTTCAGGTGCCTCACCTGTGATGTGTAACGTAAAACTCACAGCTACCAGGATTAAAAGAAATAATGGAAACCAAAGCCCTTTACAAATCATAAAGCGTTGTGTGACTGCAGATCTTGCTAATAAGACAGTAGCTTATTTCTCCAGATAGAGGGCAACTCATGTGCTTACACCAAAGTCACTGAGACTCAATCTTATGTTGGTCATTTGATCTTACATATTCATAACTGCCTCTTCTAGGTACCTGTACTTATATAATGAAGACAATAGAATTTGGTTAGTTATGTAAAACTTAGCCCTGGCTCCCTCATTTGTAAGATGGCTGGTTAAAAAATCTATTTTGCAGATTTTTTGGAATGTAAAATGAGATAATTTATGAAAGTTAACTATCACAATGATGGGTCCGTTTTTTGGTGCTTGAGAAATACTAGGGTTTACAAATATATATATTTACAATGATAGGCCAATTTCCTGCTGCCACTGAGGAGCAGAGATGAAGTATTCACCATCTTCAACATCTGCACACTGTAATTGTTGGTCTGTGAAGGGTGCTATCTCATTTTGTTGGCTTGTTTCTAGTTCCCCATCCTTACTCCGCATCCCCACTCCCAACTCTTATTCTTCTCATTCACACCAAAAGCAATCATTCCAAGGTGCTTGATGTCACTTTTTTAAACTTGTATTTGTTGCTAGTTTTGTATGTTTCCTTATAAAACATGTTAAGCTGTTTTGGATACAGAGGAAGCCTTATGTCTCTAGCCACTGAATACTTTCTTTCTGAATGAAAAGGGAAGAAAGCTTATCAGGACATTACAGACTCTAAAAGAAGCTTGGGATTTCAGCTTCGGAGACCAAGAATATCTCTATTTTTTTCTCTGAAAAGGCAAGGGTTCGGGGCCTGTCCTCTCAGTGACTGGAGCTCTGGTCACTTCTTTGAAAAGCCCCAGGGAGGAACAGTCCCTAATAAGGACTGATTCTGCTCATTGAGCAATAGGGCTGATGTCACCCGCATTGGGAACAGGTCACGCCCTATTAGCAAGGAGGCAGAAGAGGTAACTCAGGGCCACTTACAGGCTCACAGAACCTGAAAATTTCTAACAGCAAGGGGCAAAAGGATTCCTTTATACATGAAAAATTAACTCAAAAGGGATCATAGCCTTAGACATAAGACCTAAAACTATAAACCTCTTAGAAGAAAACACAGGAGTAAAATTCCTTGACCATGTTTTAGGCAATAGTTTCTTGCATATGACACCAAAAGGAAAAGCAACAAAGGAAAAACATTAATTCATCCAAATTAAAAACTTTTGCATTTTAAAGAAAAGTAGAAAGACAACCCACAGAATAAGAGAAAATATTTGCAAATGCTATGTCGGATAAGAAACCTGAATCCAGAAGGCAAAAACAACTCTTACAACTTAATAATAAAAAGTCCAAGCACTCCAATTTAAAAATTCAAAATCCAAAGAATTTGAGTAGACATTTCTCCAAAAGAGATATACAAATTCCCAGTAAGAACACAAAAAGATGCTCAACATCAATAGCCATCATAGAAATGCAATAAAAGCCACAATAAGATACCACTTCACATCCACTAGGATGGGTATAATAAAAACAAAAACAGATAATAACAAGTGTTGACAAGGATGTGGAGAGATTGGAACCTTCATATATTGCTGGTGTGAATGTAAAATGGTGTAGCCACTTTGGAAAACAATCTGTCAGTTCCTCATATGATTAAACATAGAATTACCATGTTACCCAGAAATTTCACTCCTAGATATACATCTAAGAGAAATGAAAGCATGTGTGTACATAAAAACTTGAATGCAGATATTCATAGCAGCATTATTCCTGATAGCTGTTAAGTAGAAACAAAACAAATGTCTATCAATTGATGAATAAATAAAATGTGGCATATCTATACAATGGAATATTAGTCAGTAATAAAAAAGAATAAAAGGCTGCAACATGTATGAACCTTGAAAATATTATGGGAAGTGAAAAATGCCAGTTGCAAAAGACCACATATTGTTTGACCCCATGTATATGAAATGTCCAAAACAGGCAAATCTGTAGAGAGAGAAAGTAACTTAGTGGTTGCCTAGGGCTGGACAGGTAGGGAACTTAAGGGGTGATGGCTGATTGGTACCAGAGTTCTTTGGGGGGTGATTAAAATATTCTAAAATTGATTGTTGTGAATCCATTAGCATATTCGCAGATAAGTGAATATACTTATCTGTGGCCTCTGCAGGGTGGGCCTTAGAACACCTAAAGGTGGCCATTATTTTTTTTAAATGACTCTATTAGAAGTTAAGTGCACCACTAAAAAGAGAAAACCAAGAAATTCCTGATACTAAATGGCCCATTTCCACCCACTTTCTTCTTTGGAGACCAAGTAACCTAAGCAGTCTGGGCTCTGGCAATGGCCTGAGGCCTCTCCATGCTATCAGAGAGGGAACAACATACAGATGAAAACAGTGTCAGGCCATTCTGGTAGTTATTTGGTATTTACTTCAGAATCTAGATAAAGATGGTGTCAGAAAAACTTCCACCTCAGTACTGACCATTCCTGGCTTTCCCTGTGATGGACAGTCTATGCCCCGGATTGGGGACAGAAATAGCAGAGACCTGAGATATGACCACAAAGCACTGATCCACATGTGCAGGCTCCATCTGGCCATCTGTAGATAGACAGGCTGGAGAGGTTTCCCTTCTAGAAACTCTTCACTGCATGCTGCCTAGAACATGATCTAATTTCATAAAATTCCACCAGTTAGGCAGCCTGTTAATGGGTGCCCAGGGATTCTCAGATTGATGGAGAAGAGTTGGATTCAATAACCTTATGGCCCTTCTAGGCCCTGAACCTCTATGATCCTATGTAATGAGTTACATAATCATATTTATTCTAAATACAAACCCACAAAAAAATCAATGAAATTTTTCACTTTCAATAAGGAATAGATTACAAGATGATATGGTTTGGCTGTGTCCCCTCCCAGATCTCATCTTGAATTGTAATCCCCATAATCCCCACATGTTTAGGGAGGGACCTGGTGGGAGGAGATTGGATCATGGGGGTGGTTTCCCCCATGCTATTCTTGTGACAGTGAGTGAGTTCTCACGAGATCTGATGGTTTTATAAGGGGCTCTTTCCCCTTCGCTCCTCACTCGTCTCTCTCCTGCTGCCATGTAAAGCAGGTCTTTGCTTCTCCTTAACCTTATGCCATGATTGCAAGTTTCCTGAGGCCTCCCCCAGCCATGTGGAACTGTAAATCAATTAAACCTCTTTCCTTTATAGATTACCCAGTCTCGGGTATTTCTTCACAGCAGTGTGAAAACAGACTAATACACAAGAGAATACACTGATTTCAAAGATTCTTCTTTTTTTTTTTTTTTTTTAGGTGGAGTCTGGCTCTGTCACCTAGGCTGGAGTGCAATGGCACAATCTCGGCTCACTGCAACCTCCGTCTCCTGGGTTCAAGCGATTCTCCTGCTTCAATGTCCCGAGTAGCTGGGATTACAGGTGCAGGCCACCATGCCTGGCTAATTTTTGTATTTTTAGCAGAGATGGGTTTTCACCATGTTGGCCAGGCTGGTCTTGAACTCCTGACCTCAGGTTATCCACACCCGCCTCGGCCTTCCAAAGTGCTGGAATTACAGGCACGAGGCACCATGCCTGGCCCAAAGAGCAATCTCCAAGCAATTTTATGTAGCCAATGTAGA
Source organism: Homo sapiens (assembly GCF_000001405.40). Classification (NCBI taxonomy): domain Eukaryota; kingdom Metazoa; phylum Chordata; class Mammalia; order Primates; family Hominidae; genus Homo; species Homo sapiens. Next base: position 100,127 of record NW_025791767.1, on the reverse strand, counting down.
TTTAGTGCAATTAGAGTAGAATGAATAACCTAGATTATAAACTAAAGATCCAAGTTCTCGCCTTACCTCTGCTCTTGTCATGAAAACAAAACAAAACAAAACAAAACTTCTTAGCCTGTCTAGACCCCAGTTTCTCTATAAGATGAGAATATTAGTCACGATTTGGTTTCTAAGATCCTGTCTATGTTTGAGACTACAGATACCTGTTGCTACATTTCCCTTCATAGCTCTGAACAAGGAGAATTCAGCCCAATTCTCATGGCCTTCTACACAATCCAGAGTTTCAGTGCCATATGTACTACATTTAGTGTCAAATTAAGTCAAAGGCTTCATTAGCCTGAAAGCTCTGTCCCTGGCCTGGGCATGGCAAACTGTATCCCCCACTGACCATCCCCCTGTCTCCCTTCTCCCCAGAGACTCCAGTAGCCTGGCGTCATCACAGGGGCCAGACATATCCAACATGTTCCCAGCTTCCTGCCACTGCACTTTCAGTGTGCCTCCCTCTTCAGTTACCCAAATCCTGCCCACCATTCCAGAGCCAGTTCAATCTCACCCATCCAGGACCCCCGAGACCCCCATCGTACCACTATAGTCTAACTGTGGTGTAGACCCCACACTGGGCACATTGCGTACGCTCATTATTGGCTGTGACGTCTGATTATGCCCTTCTCCTGGTCTGGAAGCTCTCGGAGGTGCTCCATAATACATGAAGAGAAGTAGTGCTGGTGTGGGAATAGTGAGGTGTGTTTATCCATCCAGCTATCCGGCACCAGCACTGGTCTCAGCTTTCTGAGGTAACACGTTCTGAGCCTTAGTCTTGAGAGAACATAAAGAAAACTTTTTTTAAAAGTAGTAAAAAGTGGCTGACAAAAGCTGACCAAAAGCCTTTCAAAAGAAATGCTAAGTTATATCTAAGAAAGTTTACCCAAGGTCAGGCAAATATGAAACCTAAAGCTAGACGTGGGGAAGAACTTCCGGAGAGTTGCAATTCCCTGTGCCCCAGCATCCTCAGGAGGGCATGCCCACATCTGATTTAGAAATCTGTGTAAAATGAGTGAAGGGTTCTATTTCTTGGGCAGTGTGGGCACAGGTCTTTGGAGAGGTCGATGGCCTCCCATAAAATCCTTCCTGCTTGATGGTTCTGGATCCTCAGCCACAGCTCCTAATAGCCATGAGGTTTGAGCCCAAAATAATTTATGTGTTTGTTTTTTCAGCCCCAAAATTTCCATAGAATCAAAGTAGTCAGAGCTGAATGGGGCTAAGAGACCGTCCATTCCTGTCTTCTCATCACACAGATGAGGGACTGCCACCCAGAGCCGTAGAAACTGTCCCATGGCCCCAGTTCCCAGACCCTTCCTCTCTCCTACAGCTCCAAGTTCACTGTGCATTCTAAATGAAGATGTAAACATAAGCAGCAACACTCAAGAGTAAAAATGAAGTGTGCATATGAAAGAAACCTATTCACATGGACCATATTACATTATAATCACAGTGTTTACTGCTTGACTACCATCTGCCTGGCCTAGCAAGGGTGTCAGTGAGGAAGAGAGGACAAGGGGTACCAATCTGTGAACTACACATGGTTCTTGCTCTCCCAGCTTCTCTCTCCCATTGGCAAGGCAACAGGTAAACACATGAAAAATCAAATAATGCTATAAGAGAAAAATGTATTCAGGACAACAACAGGTTTGTATGAAGGCCTTTCATCATCGTTGTCCTACCTAGAAACTGAATGACAGGGAATCAGAGTCACAAGCTATGAAGTCTAACTGGGCTGTTCCCAGAGAAAGATTCAGTGCAGTAGGTGGGGCTGCAGCCAGCCCTGGGTGGGTGGAAGGATGACATCCACATAGGCAAGAGGGTGATAATTCACTTACGCAGCTCCTCACTGCACATTGAACCCTGCTGACTTCTGGCTTCTCTCCCGGGAGGAACTGCGACTCAACATTCTGACCTTATCTCTTGGGTAGCAGAATGATGGAGAAGGAAAGTTTCTTTTTGCTTCTCGCAGGGGTTAATCATCCATCTGGAATGCCTACATTTGGTTGACAATGGCTCACCCTATCATCTTCCTCCTGAACCATTCACCTAAATGTGCCATTTCTTTCCTGATAGTTCTCATTTGTGTGTGTGTGTGTGTGTGTGTGTGTGTGCACGTGCTCACACATGCATGCTGTCACTGGGTAAACAGGCCACCCTGGGCACAGTTCCATCTACAATGTTTGAAGTTTACTTTCCAGCTTCTGGGCATCATTTGCAATTATAATGCTGTCATAGGCAGAAACGAGATAGGCTAATTAATCGTTGTCAATACTGATCCCTATTTGCCAGATGAGATTTTGGAGCAGCATGGCTGGGAATAATTGGTATAGACTGTATTTCCTTGCTTTATGTCACTGGAAATATTTATTTAAGCATCACGGTCGCTATGCATAAATATCCTGGAAAATGGGGTATAGCTGAATGGTGCAGATTCATTCATTCATATTCAGCAAATTATGTTCTAAGCACCTACTTCAGTATGTGAACAGCACTAAACTCAGAATATTGGTCTGCTGGGGTCCTTTATTAGCTTCCATGATTCCCTGAACTTGGCCAAGACCCTTCTGGTCGGCTGCAGATAGGCACAATGGATAGTTTTGCTTCTAGATAATGTAACTGGGACATTCAGCATTATCTATCGCCTTGAAATTCCTCTAGTCAGGTGGCTTTCTAATGGGTACCCAGAGCCCTATGACTACCCAGATTGATGGTGCACCCAACAGGACTTTGCATTTATGAGCTGATAAGTCACAGTCACTAGCTGAGATTAATCTGTGTGACACCAGAATGTGTCTCTATCTAAAGGAAAAGGGATGAAGGGTGATATCTTTGGTCACAAGTAATGTATTTCCATGTAGTCTTTGACAAAGGATCTAAGTGGATTTTGTAATTGAAGAAAAATCTATGCACTAATCTTTACAGCATTTCCGTGAGTGTACGCAAGTCAGCTCAACAATTCAACATTTGCTCTGTGGGGTTGTGCTAGACCCTGTCAGGGGATAACTACTGCTGGCTGGGGCCCAGTTCAGGGAAGACTTGCCAAAGACCATCAGGAAAAGAGGGAAGCTGAGTCTTAGGTTTCTTCCTTTAGAGATGGTGACAGTCCTCTCACCACCTCCAAGCATCTCACAATGTTTCCCTGCCTCCAAGTCATCAAATTCATTTTTGATTCCTACTTCATAAAAATTACATTCTCCCAGCACTTTGGGAGGCCAAGGCGGGCAGATCATGAGGTCAGGAGTTCAAGACCAGCCTGATCAACATGGTGAAACACCGTCTCTACTAAAAATACAAAAATTAGCTGGGCATAGTGGCACTCACCTGTTATCTCAGTTACTTGGGAGGCTAAGGCAGGAGAATCGCTTAAACCCGGGAGGCAGAGGTTGCAGTGAGCCGAGATTGTACCACTACACTCCAGCCTGGGTGACAGAGGGAGACTCCATCTCAAATAAATAAATTAAAAAAAAAAATATATATATATATGTATATATTCTCTATGGATGCTGACCATTGGACCCTGGTTTCATCTGCACGTAACAGAGTAAGCTTGGACTTGTGCTTGTAAATTAAAGCTCGACACCTCCTTTTGGCTTCTCTATACCTGAATATTCTTACTCACTCTCCTTAATGTGAATATGCATGGAAGCAGGACCATTTCCTCAAACACTAGCAGCAGCGAACCCTGTGGAAAGTCAGTCCACATAGAATAATTCAAATAAAGTGTTCAGAGAAATGGGGTTTCAGAGCAATTACTTTTTCCAGACCTTTCACAAATCAGTGGTGTAGGTATGACCAGCCTTGAGTTGAGACCTCTGTAATATCCATCTTTAATAACATTAATATGCTGTGGATGAGCAACTGATCACTGGAGGGAGTTTAGCTGCCCATAGGAGTTCATGGCTAATGACAATATCTGAATAAGGACAGGTGTGGAGCCCAGGTGCAGGAAGCAGGCGAAGGTCTTTCTGTGAGTCTCCTCTGAGGGAACTGGGTCTTTATACATAGTTACTGTTTCAGAATTGATCCTTCTGGAATCATCAGTCTTCACCAGTAGCTTGTTACATCTGGGGTTATCTCATAATTCAAACAAAGCTGACAAGTTGTAACAATGAGCACACACTGACTTCTGCAACAGGCGCTGTCCACTTCCCATCCGCACTCTACCGGCTTGCTCCTGGCCGCCTCCCACTCGCCTTCCTGGGTGGTCCCCCAGCAGTTATACCTACCTGGTTGTCGCCCCCTCTATCCTACCACAATTGCTCACTAGCGGTTTCCTGCGTACACAGCTTGTCTCCCTAACCAGAGTGGAGGTGCCTTGGGGACACAGCCAGGCTCAGACATTCACTCAGCTCATCATAGTGCCATCCCATCAATAACCCCTTCTGAGTGATCCTGGGTTAGTAAACCGAGTGTCCCTGAAATTCCACTACCGCTGATTCCCTCCAGCTGGGCAGAGGCAGCGAGCGCTGGCTGAAGCTTCCGGTGGGAAATGGGCAGTGCCTAGAAGAGAAGGAAACGATGCATGAGAAGGTTCCAGATGTCTATGAGGAACATGACGTGTCCTGTCCACTACTCTGCTTTTCCTCGTCCGCCTCCCCACCACTGGAGGAAACCTAGAAGCTGGTGCAGGAAATCCTCCTCTCAACAACCCAAGAACACTTTGCACAAGAGGGGTGCGCCCTCGGAGGTTGCTCTTCCCCAGAGGCCTCTCCTCGCTGGGGTTTCTTGAAGACAGATACTTGGACTCCTGCTGGGACCAGGCAGGCCACCCATCCTCAGGGGCAGTGACTGGTCACTCACCAGACCTCCCTGCATCCCCCTTCTCTCTCCTCCCCCAGCACGGGCTGAACCCCGCAGCCACAGATTCTGATCAGGATTAGGGTGTGGGTGCAAATCCAAGGTCCACCAAAATGGAAAAGAAGTAACCGATGGGAACACGTCTCCACCAAGACAGCGCTCAGGACTGGTTCTCCTCGTGGCTCCCAATTCAGTCCAGGAGAAGCAGAGATTTTGTCCCCATGGTGGGTCATCTGAAGAAGGCACCCCTGGTCAGGGCAGGCTTCTCAGACCCTGAGGCGCTGGCCATGGCCCCACTGAGACACAGGAAGGGCCGCGCCAGAGCACTGAAGACGCTTGGGGAAGGGAACCCACCTGGGACCCAGCCCCTGGTGGCTGCGGCTGCATCCCAGGTGGGCCCCCTCCCCGAGGCTCTTCAAGGCTCAAAGAGAAGCCAGTGTAGAAAAGCAAACAGGTCAGGCCCGGGAGGCGCCCTTTGGACCTTTTGCAATCCTGGCGCTCTTGCAGCCTGGGCTTCCTATAAATGGGGTGCGGGCGCCGGCCGCGCATTCCCACCGGGACCTGCGGGGCTGAGTGCCCTTCTCGGTTGCTGCCGCTGAGGAGCCCGCCCAGCCAGCCAGGGCCGCGAGGCCGAGGCCAGGCCGCAGCCCAGGAGCCGCCCCACCGCAGCTGGCGATGGACCCGCCGAGGCCCGCGCTGCTGGCGCTGCTGGCGCTGCCTGCGCTGCTGCTGCTGCTGCTGGCGGGCGCCAGGGCCGGTGAGTGCGCGGCCGCTCTGCGGGCGCAGAGGGAGCGGGAGGGAGCCGGCGGCACGAGGTTGGCCGGGGCAGCCTGGGCCTAGGCCAGAGGGAGGGCAGCCACAGGGTCCAGGGCGAGTGGGGGGATTGGACCAGCTGGCGGCCCCTGCAGGCTCAGGATGGGGGGCGCGGGATGGAGGGGCTGAGGAGGGGGTCTCCGGAGCCTGCCTCCCTCCTGAAAGGTGAAACCTGTGCCGGTGGTCCCCCTGTCGGGCCCTAGCACCCGCTGGGAAGACGTGGGAAGCTCACAGATTTCTTTCTCCTGTCTTACAGAAGAGGAAATGCTGGAAAATGTCAGCCTGGTCTGTCCAAGTAAGGCATCTGCGCATGGGGCGTGGAAGGGCGCCCAGCCCCGTGCACTCTCCTACACCCGGGTCCCTGAGGGCCTCCCACTCTACAGGGCTGAGATGGCATCGTGGTGTGCCTTGCTCTGACCCCAGGAAGCAAGTTCCCTGAGCCTCTGCCCACACCCAAGGGATGCCAACTCTCTTCTACCTGGCCTTCTGTTCTGTCCCAAAAGTTCAGCCTGGGGGCGGGGGAGGGAAGGGATTGTCTCTCCGCTGGCCTGTGCACACTTTGAAGAAACATCACTGTCCTGTTTATCAGTGACTAGTCATTGATTCGAAGCATGTGAGGGTGAGGAAATACTGACTTTAACCTTTGTGAAGAAATCGAACCTCCACCCCCTTCCTATTTACCTGACCCCTGGGGGTTAAAGGAACTGGCCTCCAAGCGCGACCCTGTGTGCTGGAGCCGCGGGGCGGACTTCTGATGGGGCAGCACCGCCATCTAGTGGCCGTCTGTCATCACTGCAGCTGGACTCAGGACCCAGATGTTCTTTTTCTTCAATTGTTCAGAAAATTCCTCTCAACTACAGTGGAAACCTCCAGAAATTCTTTTCTAGGAGTTTGTTAAGTTAGTTACGCTTAATGCTTAATGAACTTTGCCTTAAGTATTTGGTAGTCTTAGAGTCACGGAATTACGGCGTGTTCAAGCTAAAAAAGCATTAGAGATAGTACTATTTGCGTAATGTTGTCATCTCTTAATTTGCCAGAGGGTCTCTCATGCAGATTTTCTGAGCCCCATTACTTGACACTTGTCACTCCCTTCCCTGTGCCTCAGATGAGATATTCAAGACATGCCAGCCAATTTAAACATTAGCCTCAGCAAAAACATAATGGAGAAGTCAAATCTATAAAGGAAAATTAAGTATAAAGTCAATTAAAAAATAATTTGAGTTGAATTACCATTTTTAATTCTCTATGCCACTGCCCCTCTCTGCCCAGAATTGGCTGTCCTTGGGAGAGCTATTTCTGCTATGTGGCTGACGTATTTCTCCCCACGTTAGAAGATGCGACCCGATTCAAGCACCTCCGGAAGTACACATACAACTATGAGGCTGAGAGTTCCAGTGGAGTCCCTGGGACTGCTGATTCAAGAAGTGCCACCAGGATCAACTGCAAGGTATGGAGGATGCAGGCAGGAGGGACCTAGAGCCCACAGCTTTCCCCCAGCCCTGTTCCAGCGGGCGCCCAACACGCGACCTTCCCGGAGGGTGTGTACTGAGCAAACGCAGAACATCCCAGAACTGTTGTAATCTGATCAAAGCACTGGGACTTTGCCTCTGTTTGTAAGTCAGCCACATTGCTGAGATGTGGTCTGCCCCCACCAAATTTCGCAAGTCAGAAGTATTTTCCCGTTAACTTCCCAGATGCAATAGGAATCCATGATCTAGATTAGCAGCAGTGTGGGTCTGTAGATTTCAGCGTGAGAGAGGCCCAGTAGGTGAGCTATGGGAGGCAGGCAACTCGGAATCGCACTGTGAAATGCAGTTTTTATAATTTAAGTCAAACAGAATCTGTTGCTGAAAAATGAATGGAAAGAAGAAAAAAATATAAACATACAGTTTGTTCTAAAATAAAACTTTGCTTATTATTGAGACTGGTTGTACTCATGTTACATACATGTGGAGCAGATCTACAGGCTGCTATTGGGGTTTGGGTGGGGAAGAGAAGTCAAGCTGAGCAGTCACCTTTTTTTAGAGAGTACCGTAGCTCTTGTATGTGCTGTCCAATATGGTAGACATGAGCCACATTGGGCTATTTAAATGGAATGAAATTAAAAATTCATATTCGTTGTCACATTAGCTGCATTTCAACTGCTCAACAGCCACCCTGGCTACTGGCTCCCATATTGAACAGCACACATGTACAACATTTCTATAAAGTTATTTGAATAGTGCTGGATAATAAGTAGGAATCCGTTGAAACTCCAGCTATATGCAAAGCTCTAAATAGGCCCTAATAGATATAACCAGTTTTTTGGGTGACATTAAGGAGACATTTGCTGTGGAAACGAAGGATGGCCCTCTTCCTGCTTTCTGTTTTTCTTCTTCACTTTCACTCCTAGTCTGCAGCGCTTCTATTTAACCACAGCTCTTTATAATTAAAGTGAGTAACTTTAGAACCAATAAAAGGACATCCTCCTTCCCATGCCTAGGGGCAAACTTAAGAAATGTGTTACCCGGGAGGGGGAAAACGTCAGCAATAGGACTAAGTCTAGGTTGGTGCACAGAGAACCCAGGAGGCATGTTGATAAGGCATGTGGTGTTGAGGCGCAGGCAGTGGTGTTCCCAGCACCATTCCCTTTGGTGCTCTGATTAGAGATTAAGCCCTGGGCTTCAGGGGCCACCTCTCATTCTTGATAGACAACCTCAATGCTCTGCTACCCTGAATTCTCAGGTTGAGCTGGAGGTTCCCCAGCTCTGCAGCTTCATCCTGAAGACCAGCCAGTGCACCCTGAAAGAGGTGTATGGCTTCAACCCTGAGGGCAAAGCCTTGCTGAAGAAAACCAAGAACTCTGAGGAGTTTGCTGCAGCCATGTCCAGGTAAGTCATGTTGTACATGAGCACACGCATGTGTGTGTGTCCGCTGAGGTATGAACTTGTGTGTTTGCACCAGGCACGGATGTGACTGTAAGTATTTGTATTCCGTATCCATCGTGGATCAGGGAATTACTGAGTTTTCACAATCATCAAAAAGAGAGAAGCATTAGTTAACCTTCCCTAGTTAGGTTCCTTTAATTATCATTTTCATGTGTTTCTAAAAATCTCATGCTTTAAACTTCTTGAGATTATAAAACTGAGATGCTTTGTTTAAACAAGTGAATTCTTATTTAAAGAACTAGTCAAGACTAGTGCTTGGTGGTCTTTGGTGTGGGGTCCCAGAGGCACTGGCTGCTGTGGCCGGCACATGGCGGGGCAGGGTCTGTTCACCGCAGGGCAGAGGAGCACCAAGGCTTCGGTGGCTCCCCCTCCTAGGCTGGCATTCAGCCACTGCACGCTGATCGGCCACTGCAGCTGCATCTCTGCTGACTGGTCAGGGCCCATGTCGCACCCATTGTAAATATTTTCAACATCACCCCTGCCTCATCCTCAATCACAGTTTGTAGGGTCCTAGGTGTGTATGAATACAGGCAGGATAGAGTTGTTAACTTGGTAGCATCAGAAAACTCTGTCTGTATTAGTCTGTTTTCATGCTGCTGATAAAGACATACCTGAGACTGGGCAATTTACAAAAGAAAGGTTTATTGGACTCACAGTTCCACGTGGCTGGGGAGGTCTCACAATCATGGCGGAAGGTGAGGGACAGCAAGTCACATCTTATGTAGATGGTGGCTGGCAAAGAGAGCTTGTGCAGAGAAACTCCTGTTTTTAGAACCATCAGATCTCCCGACACCCATCTGCAATCACGAGAACAGCACGGGAAAGACCTGCCCCCATGATTCAATCACCTCCCCCCGGGTCCCTCCCACAACACGTGGGAATTATGAGAGCTACGAGACGAAATTTGGGTGGGGACGCAGAGCCAAACCATATCACCATCCTTGCCCATTTTTCAGTTTTGCTAAACATTAGATTCAGATGCCAGTCCTTTCTTGCCAAAATAGGCTGTGAGGCTTCTTTCTTTCCTATGCTTTATTTTCTCCAAGACTTAACTGTATATGAGGGAGAGGGGTATGGTGGCAGGAGGAAAGAGTGGTTTATTTTTTGGTCCTTGGTCTTCTCCAAATACAGAAGAGACTCCTGTTCTTGAAAAGGAGGGCTTTCCATGTTTGCATCTTCATGACTTTAACTGTCTTTTTTAAAAATTGACATACAATAATTATACATATTTATTGAGAACATAGTGATATTTTGATACATGTAATGTATGGTGATCAGATCAGAGTAATTAGCATACCCATCATCTCAAACATTTATCATTTCTTCGTGTTGGGAACTTTCTGAGAGAGTGTAGGCTGTGGGAGATAAGTCCGTCACCTTTTCCTCCTGATGTAACCAGAGTGGCTGCAGCCAGGTCCTCAGAAACTCAGAGAGTACCCAGTGGGAAATCCCTAAGACCAAAGTCAGCATGGGCTTCAGCCATGGCCTGACACCATACAAAAGAATGACTGTCCAACAAGTGTATGAAAATAAGCTCCAATTCACTGGTAGTCAAGAAATGCGAATTAATGTAACAACAAGATATTTATCTGCTTTTACCCATCATACTGCAAAACTGGAAAACAGTGATAGCACCTGTTGCTGGCAGGCCAGTGAGGAAAAGTGTGCTGTCCTGAGCTGCTGGTGGAAACGAGAGCCATCAGGCAATATCTACTGTAATTTAAAATACTTAATACCCTTTGACACAGATATTTTAGTCTTTGGGACTCTAGCCCATGAAAATAAAAGCAGTAATGTGTGAAGATAGGCACATAAGGATGTTTGTTTTGGTATTGTTTGTGTGGTTTAAAAAAAATCCAGAAAGAGAGAGGGCAAATGCCATCAAATGGGGCAATGTGTGAATAAATTATATTTAGCCATGGAATGGAATGTTCTGCATGCAGCTTTTAAAAAAATCTGTTAGAGCTGTACCAAGTGACTCAGAAGGATTTTTGTGAAGTATAATTAAGTGAGAAAAACAAGATAAAAGTATGCATAATACAATGCCACTTGTATAAAACAAACAATGGCAAAATCTTTGTATGACTCTGTTTGCACTCACCCATGTTTACAGAGGATTGTATGAGTGTGCAGAAACAAATGGAACAACCACTCGGGTGTCCGTATGGGGAGGATGGGCAAAGAGACTGATATGGGTGGAGAACAGAGCAGGGCTGGATGAGCCAAGCAAAAAAAGTTAAAACACAGCTGGACCTGGTGGCTCATGCCTGTAGTCCCAGCACTTTGGGAGGCCGAGGAGGGAGAATCACCTGAGGTCAGGAGTTTGAGACCAGCCTGGCCAACATGGTGAAAACTGTCTCTACTAAAAATACAAAAATTAGCTGGGTGTGATGGCACATGCCAGTAGTCCTAGCTACTCCGGAGGCTGAGGCAGGAGAATCACTTGATCCCAGGAGGTGGAGGTTGCAGTGAGCTGAGGTTGCGCCATTGCACTCCAGCCCGGGCGACCGAGCGAGACTCCATTTCAAAAAAAGAAAAAGAAAAAAGAAAAAAAGAAAAAAAAAGAATCACCAAAACTTATGTATATGTGCATACTTTTTTGAAAATGTATGTCTATGTGTAGCTATATTCTATATTTACAAATAAATGATGTCAGAAGAACAATTGGTTAAAAAAATATGAGAAAAGAAACTTCAGTGCCACCCAGCTTACTTCCAGCAAGTTGTAATGGAGAAGGACATTTCCGTGACCATCCTCTCTCTGGGACAGGTATGAGCTCAAGCTGGCCATTCCAGAAGGGAAGCAGGTTTTCCTTTACCCGGAGAAAGATGAACCTACTTACATCCTGAACATCAAGAGGGGCATCATTTCTGCCCTCCTGGTTCCCCCAGAGACAGAAGAAGCCAAGCAAGTGTTGTTTCTGGTGAGGATTTAGAAAGCTGATAGCAGTGGCCCTTGAAACTCATCTTCATGTGTTAGAGACCAGTCCTACCATATACAAAGCAGATCACTGAGTCAGCTCCATGACTAGTTACATAGGAAGCCCTGGATTGGCGTGAAATACTGGTGCCCGAGGTTCCTCCTGCCCCTTAGGCTCACTGACAGATCATCCCAAGCAGGCTTATCAGGTTGGGTCTAATTTTAAAACAGTCATTGAGGAGTCCTGGCCACCCCACCCCTGCTTTTGTTTGATGCTTCACCTGTGTTTGCTGGGTTATGGTGTACACAGTAAATCCTGTGTGTATTTTAAACACCAAAAATAATGGGATCTGTTGCTGGTCTCTTTTACGAATTTCAGGTTTCACTGTGAGACAGAATTCATTTCACCTCAGTCCCATGAGCACTTTTGTGTGTTCTAATTTCTCTACGACACCATAATGGGAGAAGACACCGATGCAACCTGCGGAGGCCTTTCTGCAGACCCACCTTTAACTGGTTTTCTCTCTCCCAACTTGGGCTGGCCAGGCACTAGCAAGACCACACTCTGCATAGGAAGAAAAAGAAAGTCCCTCCCAAAGCTAGATTCCTTCTGCTTTTTCTTTCACGATCCCCACCCCATCCCTCCCAAGTACCCAAGGATGTTGCCCGTGTTGAATACATGTGGTTGCATCTTCTTCCTCCATAGGATACCGTGTATGGAAACTGCTCCACTCACTTTACCGTCAAGACGAGGAAGGGCAATGTGGCAACAGAAATATCCACTGAAAGAGACCTGGGGCAGTGTGATCGCTTCAAGCCCATCCGCACAGGCATCAGCCCACTTGCTCTCATCAAAGGCATGGTAAGTCCCATGTCAGCACTGTCGTGCACAGCAAGGAGCATCCTCTTATTAATACAATTCCAGAACTTTTGAGCTAGTGGGCACCTTTGAGGACAGCCTGCCCTGGCTGTTTTTTATACAGACTAGAGATAGGACCCTGAGCAGGCACGGGAAGGTCTGCCCAGGCTTCACGGCCTGGGATCAGTTGAGCCAAGGCTTGAGTCAGGCTCCTCCCTCCCAGCCCAGAGCTCTGTCTTTCCTCCTGTCCTTCTGTCACTGGCACCAAACTGCCTCTAATCTCATCACTTGAGAGTAATGACTACTCACCTCTGAGAAGGTTCCGGGGATGGATGTAGGGCAGCAAAACCACCTTCTGTTCTTTTCTGCACAAGGACTCCTTGTGCCAGCTCCAAGCCTCTGGCCTTTGAAGAAGTCCCAAGACCTGTGTTCTCCCCCTCTCCCTCATCCCATGAAGTGGAGTGACTTAGAGTGCTCCAGCTTCTTGTCCTTCCACCCCCAGTACCACCCTGACCAAACATGGCCCCACTGCCACCGGCCTGGAGCACCCTCTCCTCTCTGTTAACTGGGGCCATGGAGCACCATATTACCTGAGCCTGCCTGACCCCTGCAACATCTTCCCTGATATGAGCCCCAGCCTGTCTCAGTGAACATGAATAACTTGGGCAATCACTGTCATGCTGGGCGCTGTTCCTGGTCATTGTCCTTAGGGTTGAAAACAGGGAGTCTGATGACCATGAGTGCCACAGTCAGAAGAGGATAATGCACTGGCTTAGGGGTCTTTTCTGAGCATCTGCTGTTTGCTCAACCCCACTCTGGGCAGCACCAAGGAAGGGACAGTGGCAGATGAACCATGGACCTTCCCCTCAGGATGCTTCCAGTCTAATGCAGGAGCCAGGTCAATAAAGTATACGTGGTATACTCAATAAGGTGATAAGCTGAACAGTGCAGACAAGAAGTCCTGGGCCTGACCAGGAAGGAGAAAGAATTATTCATGTAGCTCAGCGGGCAACATTTCATGGAAGATGTGGAGCAGGAACCCAAAAAATGCAAAGAATATGTAAATGAAAGAGACATGTAAGAATGGGCTTTTGGGCAAAGAAAAGTTACTGAGCAGGTGTGTGAGGGGCTATGTGGTGGGATGGGCATGTGGAGGATACAAAGTTTAGACATTGTCCAGTGAGGGTGGAAAAAGAGGAGTCTACAGCTTGACTCAGCTTTGGGGATGCCGACTTGTTGCACCCCCTGGTCTAAATGTCAAGTACCCAGTTATCTTCTTTCTCTGAGTTTATCTAGTGGTACAGGACTCCTGCTCCCTTCTACCTTGAAGGTAAATGCTTTTAACAGAAGATACAGGGACTGATCAAAATGCTCGTCTCCAATCTCTTTCATAGACCCGCCCCTTGTCAACTCTGATCAGCAGCAGCCAGTCCTGTCAGTACACACTGGACGCTAAGAGGAAGCATGTGGCAGAAGCCATCTGCAAGGAGCAACACCTCTTCCTGCCTTTCTCCTACAAGTAGGTCATGTGATGCACCCCTGATTTGTCATTTAATGGGTCAGTGTGAACTGAACACTTCTCAAGTGCTCTGTTCCAGGCAAACCTGTGCCTGGGAGGGAGGAATGGAGAGGGATAAAATGCCGCCCCTCCCTGTCCCCCTTTTTAAGCGAACAGGCCATTTGGCAGAAAAGTCCTAGGCATGCAAAACAATCCAAGACCAACAAAAGATATCTAAGACCCATTCTTTAAGGGCTGTAGATCCAGAAAACCTGAGGATCACTGCAGGGTACCCTGGTTAGAAAAGGTTTCATGGAAGATTTGGGATACTGACTGGAAACTTGTGTATCCAAATCCACTTTGAAAACTGATAATCAATGAATATATATTGAGTAACTGCCATATTCTTGGCTCTATGTTGTGGAAGATACGAAAGAATTTTGAGACATTGCACTAGTTCCTACCTCTGGCCACTCCAGACTAGTGGAGAGTATAAGGCACGCATGTCTTTTTGATGGGAGGATAACTAGCGTGACCAGGAAGAGGTGGATGTTATTCATTCAGGGCCAACAATGGCTGGATTTACCCATGCTTTGAAAGATGGGCAGGACTTGGGTAGATGCAGAGACAGGGAAAACCTTCAACATGGAAAGAATAGTATGTTCTGGCCATCCGTGACATGGTGTGCTTCCTTGGTTACCAGGAATAAGTATGGGATGGTAGCACAAGTGACACAGACTTTGAAACTTGAAGACACACCAAAGATCAACAGCCGCTTCTTTGGTGAAGGTAAGAGTTTCTGTCCACATAGTTGCTGGAAAATCTACTCAAGATGTGCCTATCATGGCTTAGCCACTTGCTGAGCCCTGTTAAATGTCTGCTGACTAACAAGTGATACAGACACTGGTGTTCTGGCTACCTCTAGTGAGAAAGCAAACTCATTTCATGATGTCAAGTTGCAATGGCATAAAGGAAAAGAAGTTCCCAAAGCTACTTAGGCATTTGTAAATAGAAAACTGGAATCCTAAGTTTAACATGACATATTTGATAGAACTGACATCACCCATCCTGTGATAAGATCCAGAGCTGTCCCAGACGAGGTGGACCAAGTGGGAGAGAACCTTCAGAGTCTGGCCAGATAGTAACCTCAGGAGTCAGTCTTTAGAGGTAGAAGGAACTCTAACAATCTCAAGTCCAACCCTTACCCAGTATTGTATTGTATTTATATCTGTCCAAATTCCTTCTTGTACATTACCTCATTGTCCTTTTTGCTCATAGCAACCTGTGATGTCAGGTGGTAGAGATGTGATTTTATACCTATTCTACAGAGGAGACAGTGACACAGAGAGGCTTAGAGTTTGATGTAGTCAAGGCCGCAGAATATTAGAGGGGGGAAAATAAGTGCCAGGTTGTAATCTAAGCCAGGACTATTCTCATTACACCACATTTCCATGATGACTTTTACCTCTCTTCCTGGCATAGGTCACAGTAGGTGGTGGAGAGGATACAAAAGTGTCTCCCCTCCCCACAAGCTGCTGGTAGACCCAATTAGAAGAAATGGTGATAAGCACCCATGTGCCTGGTCCCAGTTGTAACCATGTCAACAGTAGCACCTCCTCACCAATTATTTCAAGCTAAGGGTAACCTGATGATAGACTCAGACAAGTCTGGATTCCACTTTAGCTCTACCTCTTAGACCCTGAGAGCTCTTGGGAAACCTAAGTTGCTCATCTCTGGGTCACACTTCCTCATCTCTGGGTCTCATCTCTTTGTCTCATCTCTGGGACTCAGAGCTGAGATCCAGGGATGAGCAATTTACATGGCCCAAAAACTCTGTGGGTCTCAGAAGCAGGGCTGAATTTATCATTAAATTGAACAATAATGCCACCCCACAGGGATAGGATGATGAGTCAGTGAAAACAAGTCAATCACCTATGGCAGAGCCAGATCTAGCAGGCATTGAATACAGGATAGTTTCTTTCCCTTTTCCCCTGTGCTGATACTCCACAATTTCCAGCTTCCAGTAGACAAAGATATGGTTGAGATGAAGAAAGCTAGAGTTCCTTTGACACTTTCCATCTTCCAGGTACTAAGAAGATGGGCCTCGCATTTGAGAGCACCAAATCCACATCACCTCCAAAGCAGGCCGAAGCTGTTTTGAAGACTCTCCAGGAACTGAAAAAACTAACCATCTCTGAGCAAAATATCCAGAGAGCTAATCTCTTCAATAAGCTGGTTACTGAGCTGAGAGGCCTCAGTGATGAAGCAGTCACATCTCTCTTGCCACAGCTGATTGAGGTGTCCAGGTATCTAATGGTTACAGCTCAACTTTTTATAAAACTGATGGTAACTGACTGAACTTTCAAACCTTGGCCAAATGGAGAATCTCAGGGACCATTTGGATATCAATCCAGTTAATCAATTAGTCAATCAGTTCATGATTGCTGGATAGAGAACTATCAGCTGCTGCGCTGAGTTCCATGAAACACACACGCGCATACTGTGTTCAAGGCAGCTATGTATTTGTGTGTTAAAACAGAAGGAGAATAGTTCCCACATTTTGATGGGTAACTTTTAATTCCTAGGTCTATTGCAGGTGCTCTCCAGAAGCTTATAGGCTGGTGGAGAGAGAACTCAGACGAAAAATATAATATGATTTCTCTACCCTTCAAGGCACTGGCTTTAAGTGCTATGAAGGTGAGAGAAGGGACTGAGGCCAGGAATGAGACCCAGCTAATGTTGGCCAGGCATATTCTGTGTGCTGGCCAAAGGACTGTGATAACAGTCTTCTTGTTGCTACAGATCCACAGTCCCCTCTTGGAACTTTTCTCGATTGGGCTTCTTCTGTGGGTAATATTCCTAAGGAAAGCATCATGGTTCTGAGCTCCAAGTTGGGTTTTGAAGTTAGATTTGAATAGTGAATGAGGTGATTAAGGGCTCTCCTGGCAGAGGACACACCATGAGCAATATTTTATGTGCCCTGAAGGTGGTCTGTATAACTTTATCCATGTCTTTCTTCTCAGCCCCATCACTTTACAAGCCTTGGTTCAGTGTGGACAGCCTCAGTGCTCCACTCACATCCTCCAGTGGCTGAAACGTGTGCATGCCAACCCCCTTCTGATAGATGTGGTCACCTACCTGGTGGCCCTGATCCCCGAGCCCTCAGCACAGCAGCTGCGAGAGATCTTCAACATGGCGAGGGATCAGCGCAGCCGAGCCACCTTGTATGCGCTGAGCCACGCGGTCAACAAGTGAGTTTCCACACTGTATTTCTCCTCCTAGGAGCAGAGGAACATCTTGCACCTCTGTGCATCTCTGTATTAAAACTGAACCCCTCCTTCCACTTTCAAACTCTGCTCCTTACTCTTGTGTTTTTTCTTGATCATTTTTGGGGTAATGACTTGAAATAAGAAATCAGCAAACACAAATTGAATTTTTAAAAATATTTTCTCTACATTATATTATAAAAGTTTTTGAACATAGCAAAGTTGACAGAATTTCACAGGGAAAACCCCTAGAAAACCAGCTATCTCCTACTATTTAAGTGTTATTATATTTGCTTTATCACATATACATCCATCCATTAATTCATCTTATTTTCTGAAGCATTTCAAAGTAAATTGCAAACATCAACACACTTTCCCCTAAGTATTACAGCTTGCATATTATTAACTTCAGTTCAATATTAGTTAGCAGTTTTTTCCTCTGAATTTTTTTGTTTGTTTGTTTTGTTTTTTTTTGTTGTTGTTGTTTTTTTGAGATGGTCTCACTGTGTCACCCAGGCTGGAGTGCAGTGATGCAGTCACGGCTCACTGAAGCCTCAAATTCCTGGGCTGAAGTGATCCTCCCACCTCAGCCTCCTGAGTAGCTGGGACCACAGGTGCATGCTACCATGCCCTGGCTAATTTTTGTATTCTTGGTAGATACAGGGTTTCACCATGTTGCTCAGGCTAGCAGGTTTTTCCTTTGATGAAATTTTTTGGCTTTTTCTTTTTTACATTTTTATATAAATTTATGTGGAACAAGTGTAATTTTGTTACATGAATAGATTGTGCAGTAGTTAAGTCAGGGCTTTCAGGGTATCCATCACCCAGACAACATATAGTGTACCCACTAAGTAATTTCTCACCATCCATCTCCCTCCACTTCCACACCTTCTGAGTCTCAATTGTCTATCATTCCACACACTATGTCCTTGTGTGCACATTATTTCACTCCCACTTATAAATGACAACACGCAATATTTGTCTTTCTGTGACTGTCCTGTTTCACTTAAGACAATGACCTCCAGTTCCATCCATGTTGCTGCAAATGACATGATTTTATTCTTTTTATGGCCGAATAGTATTTTATTGCCTATACATTTCACATTTTTAATCCAATCGTCCATTGATAGACACTTAGGTTGATTCCATGTCTTTGCTATTGTGAATAGTGCTGTGATAAACATATGGGTGCAGGTTTCCTTTGGATATAATGATTTCTTTTCCTTTAGGTATATACCCAGTAATGGGATTGTTGGATTTATTGGTAGTTCTATTTTTAGTTCTTTGAGAAATCTCTGTATTGTTTTCCATAGTGGTTGTACTTATTTACAATCCCATCAACAGTGATTAACTGTTTCCTTTTCTCTGTATCCTCACCAACAACTGTTATTTTTTGTCTTTTGAATAATGGCCCTCCTGACTCTTGTAAGATGTTATCTCATTGTGGTTTTAATTTACATTTCTCTAATGATTAGTAATGTTATGCATTTTTTCATATGCCTATTGCCATTTGTATGTCTTCTTTTGAAAAAAATGTCTATTCATGTCCTTTGCCTACTTTTTAATGGGATTATTTGGGGGATTTTTTTGTTGAGTTGTTTGAATTGCTTGTACATTCCGGATATTAGTACCCCATTGGATGAATAGTTTGCAAATATTTTCTCCCATTCTGCAGGTTACCACCCTGTTGATTATTTGTTTTACTGTGCAGAAACTTTTTACTTTAATTAAGTTCTATTTGTCTATTTTTTGTTTTTGTTGTCTTTGCCTTTGAGGTCTTATTCACGAATTCTTTGTCTAGGCCAATGTCCAGAGAAGTTTTCCCTAGGTTTTCTTCTTGCATTTTTATAGTCTCAGGTCTTATATTTAAGTCTTTGATCCATCTTGAGTTGATTTTTTTATATGGTGACAGATAGGAGTCCAGTTTTATTCTTCTGCATATGGCAATCCATCTTTCCCAGCACCACTTATTGAAAAGGGTGTCCTTTCCCTAGTGTATGTTTTTGTCAATTTTGTCAAAGATCCGTTGACTGTAAGTATGTGACTTTATTTCTGGGTTCAGTATTCTGTTCCATTGATCTATGTGTCTATTTTTATGCCAGTACCATGCTGTTTAGATTACTATAGCCTTGTTGTATAATCTGAAGTCAGGTAATGTGATGCCTCCAGCTATGTTCTTTTTGCTTAAAATTGCTTCAGCTATTCAGGCTCTTTTTGGATTCCATATGAATTTTATAATTATTTTTTCTAATTCACAAGTTTGGGTTTTAAGACAAACCTAACTGGGGTTACCAAGTCCTGACTCTCTTCTCTTATTCTGTAGCTATCATAAGACAAACCCTACAGGGACCCAGGAGCTGCTGGACATTGCTAATTACCTGATGGAACAGATTCAAGATGACTGCACTGGGGATGAAGATTACACCTATTTGATTCTGCGGGTAATCTCAGTCTTTTATATGACATACATCATTTCAGAAGCACTTTTCCTGGACACCTTTTACTTCCCTCTCCTGCACCCTGATGGGTTCTTGTTTCTTTTCTTCAATGCAGGTCATTGGAAATATGGGCCAAACCATGGAGCAGTTAACTCCAGAACTCAAGTCTTCAATCCTGAAATGTGTCCAAAGTACAAAGCCATCACTGATGATCCAGAAAGCTGCCATCCAGGCTCTGCGGAAAATGGAGCCTAAAGACAAGGTAAAGTCCACAAGAAGAGGTCTGAAAGTGAAAGTTTATTAACAAGGATTTGGAAGGTACTAGGGGAATGAGACTCTAGATTTCATCTACTGACTTTATTCTGCTGTTTCTTTCCTTTCCTTCCTTCCTTCCTTCCTTCCTTCCTCCCTCCCTCCCTTTCTTCTTTCCTTCCTTCCTTCCTTCTTTCGAGATGGAATCTCACTCTATTGCCCAGGCTGGAGTGCAGTGGCATGATCTCGGCTCACTGCAACTTCTGCCTCCTGGGTTCAAGCAATTCTCTCTGCCTCAGCCTCCTGAGTAACTGGGATTACAGGCATGTGCCATTACACCCAGCTAATTTTTGTATTTTTTAGTAGAGATGGAGTTTTGCCATGTTGGCCAGGCTGGTCTTGAGCTCCTGACCTCAGGTGATCCGCCTGCCTCAGCCTTGCAAAGTGCTGGGATTACAGGCGTGAGCCACTGCACCTGGCCTCTACTGTTTTCTAATTGCAAATTTCAACAAGCCTATTGACTTGACTGCCTAGCAGTATGTGACGTGAGAGAAATACTTGACTTTGCTGCTATGTCAACATGCAGAACGTGAGATGTTTTTGCTTCCTACCGTCCACCTACCAGATTGACCATCCCTCTCATCATGGAAAAACATGCTTAATTTTCCCCCAATAAGCTTAGGCTAGGATAGCCAACTTGGCCCCCTCTTAGGTGCAAAGACTCCAGAACTTTGGAAACTACCCTATTTATTAGCCCCAAACTCTTACTACCCCTTCTCATCTTTATCCTCACATTAAAATAACTTACGTTAAAACAACTTGATTTTCACTTAGTGGTGGATCTCCAAACAAATCACAACTTGGCCATAATTTATGTGTTTTAATGGAATTGAATTCAACAGGCATTCCACAGGCTTTTTCTGGGAACCCTTACTTGATAGTGCTCTAGGAAACACTGGCAAGAAGATTCAATACCAGCATTTGAAGAACGATTACAGAGAAATTAGACCTGTGCTTAAGAAAGAGCTAGCAGACAATGCCAGTGTTTGCCAGGCATGTTCTGTGTTCTGACCACAGGACAGTGATAACCATCTCCTCTTTTGACTGCAGGACCAGGAGGTTCTTCTTCAGACTTTCCTTGATGATGCTTCTCCGGGAGATAAGCGACTGGCTGCCTATCTTATGTTGATGAGGAGTCCTTCACAGGCAGATATTAACAAAATTGTCCAAATTCTACCATGGGAACAGAATGAGCAAGTGAAGAACTTTGTGGCTTCCCATATTGCCAATATCTTGAACTCAGAAGAATTGGATATCCAAGAGTAAGTAAGAGCTATTCACCCCATATACCACTGAGGGCCCTGAGCTGGAATTCCAACCCTAGGTTTTGGCATAGCCACTGTCTGCCCTTGCTTCTGAAACAAACACTTGTGCAAATGTGTAGCAGATCTAGACCCAAAGACTTAGGGTCAATGAAATCAAGACATTTTGGTAGTGATTGGAAATCCATATTTACTTGGGGTGCAAGAGTCAAAGGATAATAACATGGTGTGTCAGCTCAAAATATACTTCTTCTTATCTAGTCTGAAAAAGTTAGTGAAAGAAGCTCTGAAAGAATCTCAACTTCCAACTGTCATGGACTTCAGAAAATTCTCTCGGAACTATCAACTCTACAAATCTGTTTCTCTTCCATCACTTGACCCAGCCTCAGCCAAAATAGAAGGGAATCTTATATTTGATCCAAATAACTACCTTCCTAAAGAAAGCATGCTGAAAACTACCCTCACTGCCTTTGGATTTGCTTCAGCTGACCTCATCGAGGTAAGTGTGAAGAGTTTGAGGTTCTCTAGCCCATTTTGTACAGCATCATAAACAGAGAGTCCCTGGGAGCCAGGAGCTACCCAGAGGAAAACTAAGAACCACCAGGCACTTCCTACCATGATTCTGAGGCTTTCTTCTTTCCCTCCTTCCCCGCCTTCCTCTCTCCCCGCTAGGGGTCACCTGAAGCATGACTTCTTAACATTAATAGAAATGCAGGCCTGGCGAGGTGGCTCACTCCTGTAATCCCAGCACTTTGGGAGGCCGAGGCGGGTGGATCATGAGGTCAGGATATCGACACCATCCTGGCTAACACGGTGAAAGCCCATCTCTACTAAAAATACAAAAAATTAGCCGGGCGTGGTGGCAGGCACCTGTAGTCCCAGCTACTTGGGAGGATGAGGCAGGAGAATGGCGTGAACCCAGGAGGCTGAGCTTGCAGTGAGCCGAGAGATTGCGCCACTGCGCTCCAGCCTGGGCGACAGAGCAAGACTCCATCTCAAAAAAAAAAAAAAAAAAAAAAATTGAAATGCAAATGTCTCGTCTTTAAGTCCCAAAGCCAAGGAAGCATATGTGCTGCCTAGTCAGATCTGCTTCAAATCTCAAATCACTCCCAACTCTGAATCCTTTGTTGAATTATTTGTCCTATCTGAACCTTAGCTGCCTCTTCTAGAAAAAAGCAAGTAATAAGGTCAAGATTCTAGTGAGATTTTAATAAAGCAGCTCCTGTGAAATGCTAAGGTCAGCTCCTGGCCTGTGGTATTCAAATACTTGTTTAGATAAATGGACATCAAGAGTGGGGACTACTAGGCTGGCATACAACAAAGAAACCTGATGCCATTTTCTTGTCTGATTTTCTTTCTCAGATTGGCTTGGAAGGAAAAGGCTTTGAGCCAACATTGGAAGCTCTTTTTGGGAAGCAAGGATTTTTCCCAGACAGTGTCAACAAAGCTTTGTACTGGGTTAATGGTCAAGTTCCTGATGGTGTCTCTAAGGTCTTAGTGGACCACTTTGGCTATACCAAAGATGATAAACATGAGCAGGTGTGTATTTGTGAAGTATCTTCTTAAGGAAAGCTTTGGGTCTCAATGCAAAAACAATTCTTTTCTAAGCATGGAAGTCCTCAAAATACTATCTAACTGAAGGGATAACTATGGTTTTTATCAACCAGACCTGCTGGGGTAAGGGCCAGTATCCTCTGCAGTTAAAGATCTCCTGAATTCAGTGTGCCCAGAAACCAGACTCACAATAAGTACTCTAGGATAACAAGAGTATGAACTCTGGGCTGGGTGTGGTGGTTCATGCCTGTAATCCCAGCACTTTGGGAGGCCAAGGTGGGCAGATCACAAGGTCAGGAATTTGAGACCAGCCTGGCCAACATACTGAAACCCCGTCTCTACTAAAAATACAAAAAAACTAGCTGGGCATGGTAGTGGGTGCCTGTAATCCTAGCTACTCGGGAGGCTGAGACAGGAGAATTGCTTGAACCCGGGAGGTGGAGGTTGCAGTGAGCCGAGATCACGCCGTTACACTCCAGCCCGGGTGACAGTGTGAGACTGTATCTTAAAAAAAAAAAAAGTATGAACTCTGGGCATAGATTTAATTCTAACTTCCCTGTCTTGAAGCTGTGCGCACTTGGGGAAGTTGGTTGATATTATGTGTATCTGTTTCTGTCTGTATCCCAGACTACTAATAACAGTCCAAACCTCACAAGGTTATTTAAAGACAATGAAATAAGGCATCTAAAATGCCAAGCACAGTGCCTGATGCTGGCATTGGTTGTTCAATAAGCAGACACTATTACGAGTTCTAAATTAATATTTTCATTATTATTAACTGCTGTCTTTGGCTCTCACTCCCATCAGTGCACTAGCAAATGAGACCAAACTTCCACTTTGAAGCTAGCAATGAGCCCCCATTTAAGGAGGGAAATAGGTTGTATGATCTGGAGCTTATTCTTGAATTTTTTGCTACCCAAAGTGTGGTCTGGTCAGAAATACAGCTTCTCATGCTTCACCCACAATCTACTGAATCAGAAGCGCATTTTAGCAAGACCTCATGTGACTTGTATGCACATTCAACTTTGCAGAGCAAGGCAGTAATTTACCCCTCCAGGCTCACTGTTGAGCACGAGCTCCATCTTCTAATTTCCTGACCCCCACTTGAGGCCGAGGATCTTTGATCTGCTTTGAGTCTGTCAGTTTCACATTTTTTTTTTCCCAATGCCTGGGCATCCATCTCTGAGATTCTTCTTCTCTCTGAGAAGAACTTGTCTAGGATCAAGTGTTTTTCAAACTTCTGGTGAATTTATATAACAGCTACATTTTCTTAAGAAACACCTTGTAGTCTTCACTGGTCAAAGAAGAGAAGGCTAAGCAGGGAACGGGTGGGGGATAGAGGATCTTCTAATCTTGAGGATCCTGGCATACTGGAGAATAGGGACCCCTCCTCTCATCCCACCACATCTTACTATGTCTACAGATTTTTTAATTAAGAATAGCTTTAGGAGTGCCACTATCCCTGACAAGACCTTAGTTCTTTAATCTCTGCTTAGAGGAATTAGCCTGGACTTCAGTGTCTCCCTGTTCCTCACCTGGAGCATTTTTTAGGCCCATCCTGGCTGCATCAGACAGGTCCCACATTGGGAACTGAAAGGTGTTTGACATTGCTGACATCTCACTGGCCATTTTATTACTAAACTCTCAGGATATGGTAAATGGAATAATGCTCAGTGTTGAGAAGCTGATTAAAGATTTGAAATCCAAAGAAGTCCCGGAAGCCAGAGCCTACCTCCGCATCTTGGGAGAGGAGCTTGGTTTTGCCAGTCTCCATGACCTCCAGCTCCTGGGAAAGCTGCTTCTGATGGGTGCCCGCACTCTGCAGGGGATCCCCCAGATGGTAAGTCAGCAGGCCCCACTGGGGGCCCATGAGACCAGACGTTGGTTTTTTTTTAGATCGCCCAGACTCCCTTACGATCCCAGCTGCACAAGCCCGAAAAGATGCTTGTACTTTCTTCAGAGATGGAGGTTTGCCTTGAATTTCACTGAAGATGACTCTTGGATCACATGGAAATGTTAACATTTAGAAATTAAGCTATTCATAATGTTAGCTGTATTTTTAAGAGCATTAATTTATTCATCTGGAAAACAATGTTCGGTATACCTTCCTCTACCTTTGCTGAAGGTCCTTTTATTTTTATTTTTATTTTTTTAATTTTTTGAGATGGAGTCTTGCTCCCAGGCTGGAGTGCAGTGATACAATCTCGGCTCACTGCAACTCTGCCTTCCGGGTTCAAGCAATTCTCCTGCCTCAGCCTCCCAAGTAGCTGGGACTGTGGACGTGCACCAGCATGCCCGGCTAATTTGTGTATCTTTAGTAGAGACAAGCCTGTTGACAACCATGTCAGGCTGGTTTCGAACTCCTGACCTCAAGTGATCCTCCAGCCTGGGCCTCCCACAGTGCTGGAATAACAGGTGTGAGCCACTGCACCTGACCTGAAGGTCCTTTTAAGATTGAAATGATACAATGATTATAAAAGAAAGTATTTGGCAAACTATAATTCACTATCTAAATATGCTATAATTTTTATTATTAATTCATAAAAGGAAATATATAAATGTACTCCTATGGCTTGATTAAAAAAATGTTGACTTTAAGAAAACAGGTCTCAAGCTATTTTATTGAAATATTATTTAAAAAATAAAACCCAATGCAAATTGATATGTACATCATCTCAATAGGCCTTTGGTTTCAAAAAATTGATTTTATCATAATATAATACATTTCAAGTACACCTTCACTTACAGTCAGACTCCAGAACACCAGAATTAAGCCATGGCATATATGATACTTAAAGTCCATAAAGCTCTGAGGCCCAGCAATATTCTTAAGAGCCTTCTGAGTCCACTTGAAAATGACATGATATCTATCTAGTGAAATTTCTTATATCCTGATTCACTGAAAACGGTAAAAACATCAGTTTGATCTTTATTTATCAAACTATTCAGCTCATCAAAATATGCTAGTCCTTCCTTTCCAGATAAAGAGGAATTACTCTCCAATGTATGGGAGGTTGTAATTAACAAAACCGACTTTAAAAAGACTTACTTTTATTTGCTCTCCCTTGTTGGGTCTACAGATTGGAGAGGTCATCAGGAAGGGCTCAAAGAATGACTTTTTTCTTCACTACATCTTCATGGAGAATGCCTTTGAACTCCCCACTGGAGCTGGATTACAGTTGCAAATATCTTCATCTGGAGTCATTGCTCCCGGAGCCAAGGCTGGAGTAAAACTGGAAGTAGCCAACGTAAGATTCTGTTTGCCTTTTGATTTCTTAGGTTATTACTTTCTTCCAGGGTGCATTTCTTGTTAAAACATATTTAAAAATGTGTTTCCACTTCAAGACAAAATGCTTCATCATTGTAATCACCTCATTATTTTTTTATGAAAAACTTCAAGCTTCCACCAGAATGCACTACCTCACTAGCTCCAGTAGTGGTATGGCCATAAGACAAGAACTCAGTTCTCTCAACAAATGAGTATTCCTATCATCTTTTTAATCTGGTTTTGCCTCACGTTAACTCAGGTGCTTTCTAGTTCTGGGTAGTATACTCCAACTCTAGAGAACTGAGAACTCGCTTTCCTTCTTCCAAACAAATCCCAGTAATGTTTCCAAAGGTCTGAGTTATCCAGGAAATCTTTGCCCGGAGGTGAGAAAGGGTGGTTGATCTGACTGACAGGGGACTGAAGTATTTAATGAATCTGAATAGGTTGTTTTCTGACTTATAGATGCAGGCTGAACTGGTGGCAAAACCCTCCGTGTCTGTGGAGTTTGTGACAAATATGGGCATCATCATTCCGGACTTCGCTAGGAGTGGGGTCCAGATGAACACCAACTTCTTCCACGAGTCGGGTCTGGAGGCTCATGTTGCCCTAAAAGCTGGGAAGCTGAAGTTTATCATTCCTTCCCCAAAGAGACCAGTCAAGCTGCTCAGTGGAGGGTAATTCTTTCAGCCAAGTCTGCCTAGCCAGTTTGAAAGAGAGAACAGAGAATGTACCTGCAGAATTTTGCCAGGCTAAACAGTTGATTGAGATCATTCAGGTCCTGAGGAAGCAGGAGAGGAGTAGAAAGGAAAGATTCCGGGTTACCTATTTTAATTCTAGCCTAGACTTACTACATAACTACATAATTACCTTTCTTCTACTTTTCACATTTTACTAAACTGTCCTTTATCTTTCTGCTTTGAGACTTATTAAGACCTACTGCTTAATTAGTTTTTATTAAGTTGTGATTTTTTGTTATCTATTTGTTTTGAGAATGAAGAAACAATAGCTCTGGAGAGATCATCTTTGGAAAATTAATATTTTCCCCCCCAAAAAATACCTAAGAACATATTGATTTGAGGTAGCTAGGTAGGTAAAGCATGAAACTCCTAACCTCGTGATAATGGAATACAGCCTCTTTTGGAGAGTTCCATTTTAAGTGGCACCCTCAACCATTGATTTGCCTTAGTTTTCATATTTTAGACACATTCATGTGTTCATTCAAAAATAATATTTAATTGGCCAGCCACGGTGGTTCATGCCTGTAATCCTAGCACTTTGGGAGCCCCAGGTGGATGGATCGCTTGAGCCCTGGTGTTTGGATACCAGCCTGGGCAACATGGCAAAACCCCATCTCTACAAAAAAAATTAAATAAATAACAAAATTAGCCAGTCGTGGTGGCACATGCCTGTAGCTCCAGCTACTCAGAAGGCTGAGATGGGAGGATCAACTGAGCCCAAGAGTTCAAGCCTTCAGTGAACCATGCTTGCACCACTGCACTCCAGCCTGGGAGACAGAGCAAGATCCTGTCTCACAAAAAACAAAAAATAGTATATTTAATTGCCTAATATATACCACGTATGTTGAGTGAGACACACAAGGTCCCTGACCTTTGAACGCTTACATTTTATAAGGGAGACACACAATTAAGCAAGCAGTAATCATAGAGTAAGGGCTAAGTTATAGAAAGTATTAGAGTACCATGAAATTTTATATCATGTAGCCTGTGCTAGTCAGGGAATGCATTCTGAAGCAAGTGTACTTGACCTGATAACTGAGGACTGTGTCAGAGTCATTTAGGCAAAGGAGAAAGGAGTGAGTGTTCCAGGCAAAAGGAAAAGCATGTAATGGCCTGAAGGTAAAGGAATATGGTTCAAGGAACTGGAAGAAGTGCAGAATGGTAAGGGGCTCAGAGATGATGGGGAGAGGTAGGCAGGGGAGAGAGCATGCCCAGCTGCGAAAGCCATCCTAAGGAGTTTGGACTCTTTTGAAGGCACAGGAGTTGAAAAGGGGAGCAGAAATAAGATAGGGGTGATGTTTTAGAAGAAATACTCTGACTCTAGTGTGGAAGATGGGTGAGAAGGAGGCACAGCTGGACACGAAGAGACCATTGGACATCTCTTACGATCCTATGTGGCTAAGAGCTGATAATGGCCTGCAGTGGAGAAAAGCCAGGTATAGAAAGGAGTGAGCAGATTCTACAACTTTCTAAGAGGCAGAATCATAAGTACTGGGTGATTAACTGGGTATGGGGACAAGGCAAAAGAAAGAAGAAAAGAGGAAGGAGGCGCCCTTCATTTTAATAAGAACTACAGTGGGAGAGCTTCTGGTTTCAAGGAAAGTGACAAATTCAGTTTTGGATGTGCTGTATTTGATGTCCTCCTATGAAACAACCAGTTTAGAAATCTAGCTGTCAAATAGACCTATGGATCTGAGCCCAGTAAAGAGGCTTGGGCTCCACATATGGATTTGGGAATCATTAGTATACAGAGGTTGTTGTGGTTAAACAGCAACTGGTATAGAGTGAGACATGAGAGATGAGGACAGAAATATGGAGAAGACAAACATATAAAGGAAGAAGGGGAATAACCAGCAATGAGTTAGAAGAAGTGACCAGAGAAGCAGAAGGAGAACCAAAGCCATAAAAGGTCACAGAAGCCAAAGAGCAGCCACAGGGGAGATCACCCCATGGGTAGGCGAAAGCTGGCATTAGGACTCCAGCACATCAGCAAAGCTTGGTCTTGTGGCACCCCCAACTTGGAGAAACAATACTTGGAGGAAAATGTGCTATTTCAAAGAAAGCATCCTTAGAAAAAACCAGGCCAATGTTGAACTTTCTTACATGTACTAAGTTTTTAAGTACACACTTGGAAGGAAGGTGCCATCATCTCTTCAGATGTGAGAGGCTCCAGCGTCTTAGTCTGGTCATGAGTGCGCAACTCTATGGAAGGCTTCTGGGAGGTCAAGGAAGATGAAACCTAAATATGCCCATTGGATGTAGGAGCAAGGAGGGCATTAGAGACATTGATGAAAGCATTTTCAGGAGATGGAGTGAGCAGTCAGAGCACATTGGGAGGAAGTAGAGACTGCAAAGGCAGACAACTCTTGATGGTGAGGAAGATGAGAAAGCAAGAAAAGAAAGAAAGGAGCATAGGGGAGGGGCACAGGGGAAGAGACTTGAGCGTGCTTAATGCAGGTGGAAGGAAGCAGGTAGAGAGTAGGAGATTTCATATGAAAGAGACAGTTTCTCTTGCCCTGCATTGTAGGAAGGAAGGGGCACACTGAAGTTCAGCCCCAGTGATCAGCTATTTAACATCTCTGAGCCTCTGCTTCTGTAAAATGAGAACCATAAGCCTACTGTTGTGGGGATTACAGGTAACAGATGGAAAGAACTCAGCCAGAAGCTTCAGAGTCACTCTCATGGCTTGTCATGTTGATGTTCTTTCTAATATTATTTGTTTCTCAGTAAATTAAATAGTTAGAGATAGGTGTGGACTGAGGGAAGACAGGAGGATAAGGGGGTATTTGCACCCTGAGAATTTGTGATGTCCATTTTGATTCATGACTTGGCAATAACTCAGGTATTTTTGTTCTTCACCAGCAACACATTACATTTGGTCTCTACCACCAAAACGGAGGTGATCCCACCTCTCATTGAGAACAGGCAGTCCTGGTCAGTTTGCAAGCAAGTCTTTCCTGGCCTGAATTACTGCACCTCAGGCGCTTACTCCAACGCCAGCTCCACAGACTCCGCCTCCTACTATCCGCTGACCGGGGACACCAGGTTAGAGATGCTCAGTGCCTGACCCAGCATTTTCTCACCTTCCACATCATGGCCACCTAGCATGGCACAGGAAAAAATACTCTGTGTTGTAAGACCCTGTCACTAGCCTTCTGGGTTTGCACCATCTTTGGGTATTTAAAGCAGGGTCCTCTGGCCAACACATTGGGTGTCACCTTTTGCTTCCTTGTGCATGGGATGGGATCACAGCACAGATCCCAATTTGCTCCTAATTCAGTGTCCATGTTTCTGAGCCTCCAGACCCATCGCTATGAGCTTCCTGGAGCCCACCAATGTGCTTGAAGCCTTCACCGTACTTAGGTGGCTCCCTGTCTTCAGCCCCCAAGTTCCAGTGCTTGTTCTCAGCTTTGCTGAAACAACCAGCCAACTCCTGCTCTGCTTGTCCAAAGTCTTGGGAATCCTGGTGTCTGCCCTTGCCTTGGGTTCTTGTAGGACTGAGGGATCAAAAAGATCATCTTAGTTAAGGGCAAGAGACAATGTTAAAATAAGGACCATATTTTTGTTGCATTTGAGGCTGAATTGTTTTGGGAACATAATCACCATCCTTGAAAGCTCTAACATTATGCACTGTCTTCATTGTAATGTCTTTAGATTAGAGCTGGAACTGAGGCCTACAGGAGAGATTGAGCAGTATTCTGTCAGCGCAACCTATGAGCTCCAGAGAGAGGACAGAGCCTTGGTGGATACCCTGAAGTTTGTAACTCAAGCAGAAGGTGAGTATTCAAAACACAGCTGCCTCATCTCTGCTCGCAGTCTCAGGTTCAGAATTCATGAGGAGAAGACATGTAATTTAACCTATTTAACAAATAGGTTAACTGAGTACCCACTAAGCGGCAGGCCTATTCTAAGACCTGGGTTAACTGAGTACCCAATAAGCGGCAGGCCTATTCTAAGACCTGGGGCTAGAACAGTGAACAATGGAGTCTCTGCCTTCATGGAAGTTACAGTGAACAACCAAACAAGTTAATATTTGGAATATCAGATAAGTACTGAGGAGGAAAACAGAGCGTAGACTGGTCTATGGAGGGCTAGGAGTAGGAGGGAGGAAGAAGGGCAGGGAAAGCAGTGCATTTGGAATAATAAGGGAAAGTCTCCCTGGTAAAGTGAGCATAAGGAGACCTATCAGAAATAAGAGGAGAAGCCGTGTGGTAAGACTGTTAACAGGCAGAGGGACCAGCAAGTGCAAAGGCCCTGAGGCTGACACACTACTACCATGTTTCAAGGAAAGGAAGGAAGACAGTATGGCTGGAGCAGAAAGACCAGGGAGAAAAGAGGTAGAAGATGAGGACAGAGAGATATGGAGAGGTGAAGGAAGGATAATCTCATAGGCCATGGTAAGAACTTTGGCTTTTTCTATGAATTAAACGAAAGCCATTGGGGAGTCCTCATGATTTGATTTATGTTTATGTTGAGAAAAGACTATGGGCAGACAAGGGCAGAGAAACTAATATGTAGGTTATCACAATAATCCAGGCAGGAATCAGTGTTGTTTTGGATCAGGGCAATGGCAGAAGAGATATGAGAAGGGGATGGATTCTGGCCATATTTTGAAGATTAGGCTGACAAGATTTGCTGATACAGTGGATGTTGAGTGTAAGAGGAAAAGGGGAATGAAGACAAACCTAAGGTTTTTGGCCCGGGCAACTGAAAAATGGAACTTCCATTTATTGAGATGGAAAGGGCTACTGGAGGAGCAGGTTTTAGGGAATGGGAGAAATTTAGGTGTTCACTTTGGAAAAAAAATTATATAGGGATAGCGAGGAGCAGGTTTTAGGGAATGGGGCACATTTAGGTGTTCACTTTGGAAAAATTTTTATATAGGGATAGCATATCACAGAATTAAACTAGGAAGAAAATCCCATGATAGAAAGCACTGGAGGAGCAGGGCACGCTGGGGAAATAGTGTTTGGTAAACATTGTTTTACGAAGGATATAAAATGGACCAGCCTATGGATTGAAGGACGCCCGGGAATCTTGTTACAAAGAAAGGGGGAGTTGGGGAGATGGAGCCCAGGGCAAGGGCAGCAAGGAACCAGGACAGGCATCTTGGGTAGAAAGTAATATAGAGATGTCGTGTCTTCCTGGCCCAGAAGGGCTGCGAGCCTTTGCTGTTCCACAAACAAGCTAAGTGCTCCCCATTTCAGGGCCTTTGCATTCCTGACCTTCTGCCTGGAATGTGCTCCTCCCAGAACTCAGCGTGGCTCCAACCTCTTTTCATTCTGGTCTCTGCCCACATGTGCCCTTATCAGAGAGAATTTCTCTGACCACCAAGTATGAAATAACACTTCTTCTATCCCTTTCTTTTATCCTTGTATCCAGTTTTACTCTTCTTCATAACATTCATTACCATCTGACATGAGCAAGTTACTTGTTTATTGCCTGTACACCTCCCCCACTAGAAGGTAAGCCCCATGAAAGCAAGGATTCCCCAGTACCAAGAGCAGTGCCCAGCACACAATAGGCTCATAACAGGCAATCCATAAAGACTTGCATACATGAACACAACTGAGTTTAAAATTATCAGTAAATGAGACCCATTAAAAAATTTTAATGAGAAAAAAAAAATTCAGTAAAATCCTGAACTGTGTTTTTGTTTAAGCACATTGATTCCTTGGAGTTTCTCTACCTTTTCCTCTCTTTCCTTCCAAAACATAGCTTCTTTATTTATTTATTTATTTATTTGTTTGTTTATTTATTTATTTATTTATTTATTTATTTTTTGAGATGGAGTCTCGCTCTTTTGCCCAGGCTGCAGTGCAGTGGTGCCATCTCGGCTCACTGCAAGCCCCGCCTCCCGGGTTCATGCCATTCTCCTGCCTCAGCCTCCTGAGTAGCTGGGACTACAGGCACCCACCAACGCGCCCGGCTAATTTTTTGTATTTTTAGTAGAGACGGGGTTTCACCATGTTAGCCAGAATGGTCTTGATCTCCTGACCTCATGATCTGCCCGCCTTGGCCTCCCAAAGTGCTGGGATTACAGGTGTGAGCCACCGCACCCGGCCCAAAACATAGCTTCTTACCACACATCTCTTGATTCTCTTATACACTCGTCCAGGTGCGAAGCAGACTGAGGCTACCATGACATTCAAATATAATCGGCAGAGTATGACCTTGTCCAGTGAAGTCCAAATTCCGGATTTTGATGTTGACCTCGGAACAATCCTCAGAGTTAATGATGAATCTACTGAGGGCAAAACGTCTTACAGACTCACCCTGGACATTCAGAACAAGAAAATTACTGAGGTCGCCCTCATGGGCCACCTAAGGTAAAGAAGGCCGAGGGTCATCTGACCTGCACTGCAGGCCTGGGTGGTTCTTTTCATTATTCCTCTTCCACTTCATACCTGACCAAGCCATGTTCTCCCCTAGTCTACAATCAGAGTGGCAGAGAGAGCCCTCAACAATTTTTTTTTTTTTTGAGATGGAGTCTCACTCTGTCACCAGGCTGGAGTGCAGTGGCACAATCTCGGCTCACTGCAACCTCCGCCTCCCGAGTTCAAGTGATTCTCCTGCTTAAGCCTCCCAAGGAGCTGGAACTATAGGTGCATGCCACCACACCCAGCTAATTTTTATATTTTTAGTAGAGACAGGGTTTCACCATATTGACCAGGATGGTCTCGATCTCCTGACCTCGTGATCCACCTGCCTTGGCCTCCCAAAGTGCTGGGATTACAGGTGTAAGCCACTGCACCCGGCCAAGCTCTCAACATTTTAACCCTCTGCGCATGTCCAGTTGGATTTTCCTACCATTTATCAGGCACTTACTATTCATGTATCAAGCACAGTGCTGGGTGCTTTAAAGAAATTATCTCGGTCCTCACAATAAACTGCGAGGTCACTGTGAGTTTTCCTGTTTCATGGATAAGGAAATGGTAGCTCAGAGGGGTTAAATCATTTGGTCAAAATCACAGAGCTAGTAAATAGCAGAGCAGGATTCAAACAGTTTTCAAAAAACTTCTCTTTCTCCTAAACCTGTTTGCAAAGTCCTTAATTTGTGCTGAATGTTGGCTTTAGAAGTTGATGAGTTTGATCTGTGGCTGTTTCTCTGAACCATCCTTGTATCTGGTTTTGATCACCACAAATGGAACTTCTGTTTAATCCTGCATATCTCCATTGAAAGGACAAAATCATTGGTGCCAACTGATTTTCTTTACCATAGTTGTGACACAAAGGAAGAAAGAAAAATCAAGGGTGTTATTTCCATACCCCGTTTGCAAGCAGAAGCCAGAAGTGAGATCCTCGCCCACTGGTCGCCTGCCAAACTGCTTCTCCAAATGGACTCATCTGCTACAGCTTATGGCTCCACAGTTTCCAAGAGGGTGGCATGGCATTATGGTATGTGTCTCTTCCCCTGTGTGAGCACTTCCAAAGTAATGCAGGTGTTGAGACCTGTGGTTACAGGCTGAACTAGTACCATTCACAACTATTTCCTACGTATTTTCAGATGAAGAGAAGATTGAATTTGAATGGAACACAGGCACCAATGTAGATACCAAAAAAATGACTTCCAATTTCCCTGTGGATCTCTCCGATTATCCTAAGAGCTTGCATATGTATGCTAATAGACTCCTGGATCACAGAGTCCCTCAAACAGACATGACTTTCCGGCACGTGGGTTCCAAATTAATAGTTGTAAGTATGAGTCTGCCAGTCAATAAATACATGGATATAAGTGCTAATTACATCCTCAACTCTGAGCTAGGTGCAGGAAGGTTTCCAAAGATGTATAAGGCATGCTTCCTTCCCCCCAGGGAATTCTTGGGGAGAAAAAAAAACTTTCACAAGTGTGTAGTTACCCAGTTACACAAAGCTGAATGTGATACATATCAAAGAGATGCTACTAAGTAGAACAGTTCTTTGCCTAGTGGTATCAAAGGAAGCTTCAGGACACCAGCTAGGAGGCTGACTATGTTAGACATTCCTTTTATAAATATGGACAGTGATCAGTGACTGGCAACGAAGATTCATAATTTTCTGTTATTTATTTTTAACTTTCAGTGCATTGTCCAGCTTAATAATTAACTTGTCAAATCGGTATTTTTGCCTAATGTTCATTGCTCTTTGAGGCTCATCCAAGCCCATTACCTTAAAAATCTCCTGTCATTTTGTAGGCAATGAGCTCATGGCTTCAGAAGGCATCTGGGAGTCTTCCTTATACCCAGACTTTGCAAGACCACCTCAATAGCCTGAAGGAGTTCAACCTCCAGAACATGGGATTGCCAGACTTCCACATCCCAGAAAACCTCTTCTTAAAAAGGTAAAAGAAGAAAGCAGCAAGGCTTCTTGAACCATGCAAAGTAAATGAAAGATTTTACATAGCATGATTTAGACATTTTTTTAAATTTTTAAAGGAAATAATTTAAGCATTTTAAGGAGATTAATAACTATAGCACAAACACTGTGGCATCTTTGCATTAGTAAACATGAGAACACCAACCCTGTCAGGAAGAATCTAAGAAAGTCATTAGAGGATTCTGGTACTTTCACCCTAAGATATTTTATTCAGTACAACCTGTTATAAGCAAATTCTCCCTCTGACTGTGAAGAATTCAGAATGGCTAGAGGCGTTATTGACTACAGGCTTGCTGTTAAGCTAGAGAGAGTCAGAACAGCCATTGAGCACTAAATGGAGGCAGCATTCTGAGAAAATACTTTAACCCAGGCTTACTGACTTCCATACCTATGTTCTTTCCACAAATCAAGTTGTCTCAATTCAGTTTAGCAAATTTGTATCAAGTATCCCCTATGTGCAAAATGCTAGACTAGGTACAGTGAGAAGATAGAAACTGGGTAAGGTATAGCCTTTTCTTTCAAGAAGATACCATGGAGACATCAACAAATGAGAAATAATTAATTATATAAGCAAAATTATGACATGCTCTTTGAGAAAGGTGCAAGGGACTATGTAACTGTAAGAATGAGACAAATTGGCTATGACTTAGGTGGGATGGTAATGATAAGGAGTGGCCCTTAGAAGAGCTTTGTCAGGATTTGAGTGTTTGACAGGTGGAGGTAAAAGCAAAGGGGTCCAGGCATAGGAGTAGCACAAAGAAAAGTGCAGAGTGGCTTTGGGAATGGGGCAAGTACAATATTGTTGTGAAGGTCAGAGGCAGAGAACTTTGAATGACTGATGTCTGACTGTGGGGATGTTATCTTTGTTGTTCATTTCAGCGATGGCCGGGTCAAATATACCTTGAACAAGAACAGTTTGAAAATTGAGATTCCTTTGCCTTTTGGTGGCAAATCCTCCAGAGATCTAAAGATGTTAGAGACTGTTAGGACACCAGCCCTCCACTTCAAGTCTGTGGGATTCCATCTGCCATCTCGAGAGTTCCAAGTCCCTACTTTTACCATTCCCAAGTTGTATCAACTGCAAGTGCCTCTCCTGGGTGTTCTAGACCTCTCCACGAATGTCTACAGCAACTTGTACAACTGGTCCGCCTCCTACAGTGGTGGCAACACCAGCACAGACCATTTCAGCCTTCGGGCTCGTTACCACATGAAGGCTGACTCTGTGGTTGACCTGCTTTCCTACAATGTGCAAGGTGAGCTATGCTCAGGTAAAGGGTGCACCGGGCTAGTTCATGGCAGGCTCTAAGAGGAGAGCCTCCTCCAGGGAGGAAAGGACTTTGGCTTTCTAGCAGATAATCTTCCTTGCTACTTGGAAGTCTTTTATTTTATTCAACAAATAGAAATATTTATTAAACATATCACGTGTATTAAATATTCTAGTAGGCAGTAACAGAAAGTAGACAGATAAGCCAGCAATTATAATTCAGTGTGAGAGGTGCTATGATAAAGTGTAGTATATAAGTATAAGGTAGAGTGGAAGCACTCAACAAGGGAACCTAAACAAAGCCTGTGGTGGTCAGGCAAGGCTTCCTGGAGGAATGCCTTTTGCTATCAGATTTTATCTTTGCATTACAGATGGAGGAGTCTATTGCACAATTGGCCCAGAAAAATGGGGCTTTATTATTGAAAGACTTTCAACATAGAGATTGCTCTGGAAATGTACTGCTTAATTTAACCAATGTCTTTTCATTTTTATGTTAGGATCTGGAGAAACAACATATGACCACAAGAATACGTTCACACTATCATGTGATGGGTCTCTACGCCACAAATTTCTAGATTCGAATATCAAATTCAGTCATGTAGAAAAACTTGGAAACAACCCAGTCTCAAAAGGTTTACTAATATTCGATGCATCTAGTTCCTGGGGACCACAGATGTCTGCTTCAGTTCATTTGGACTCCAAAAAGAAACAGCATTTGTTTGTCAAAGAAGTCAAGATTGATGGGCAGTTCAGAGTCTCTTCGTTCTATGCTAAAGGCACATATGGCCTGTCTTGTCAGAGGGATCCTAACACTGGCCGGCTCAATGGAGAGTCCAACCTGAGGTTTAACTCCTCCTACCTCCAAGGCACCAACCAGATAACAGGAAGATATGAAGATGGAACCCTCTCCCTCACCTCCACCTCTGATCTGCAAAGTGGCATCATTAAAAATACTGCTTCCCTAAAGTATGAGAACTACGAGCTGACTTTAAAATCTGACACCAATGGGAAGTATAAGAACTTTGCCACTTCTAACAAGATGGATATGACCTTCTCTAAGCAAAATGCACTGCTGCGTTCTGAATATCAGGCTGATTACGAGTCATTGAGGTTCTTCAGCCTGCTTTCTGGATCACTAAATTCCCATGGTCTTGAGTTAAATGCTGACATCTTAGGCACTGACAAAATTAATAGTGGTGCTCACAAGGCGACACTAAGGATTGGCCAAGATGGAATATCTACCAGTGCAACGACCAACTTGAAGTGTAGTCTCCTGGTGCTGGAGAATGAGCTGAATGCAGAGCTTGGCCTCTCTGGGGCATCTATGAAATTAACAACAAATGGCCGCTTCAGGGAACACAATGCAAAATTCAGTCTGGATGGGAAAGCCGCCCTCACAGAGCTATCACTGGGAAGTGCTTATCAGGCCATGATTCTGGGTGTCGACAGCAAAAACATTTTCAACTTCAAGGTCAGTCAAGAAGGACTTAAGCTCTCAAATGACATGATGGGCTCATATGCTGAAATGAAATTTGACCACACAAACAGTCTGAACATTGCAGGCTTATCACTGGACTTCTCTTCAAAACTTGACAACATTTACAGCTCTGACAAGTTTTATAAGCAAACTGTTAATTTACAGCTACAGCCCTATTCTCTGGTAACTACTTTAAACAGTGACCTGAAATACAATGCTCTGGATCTCACCAACAATGGGAAACTACGGCTAGAACCCCTGAAGCTGCATGTGGCTGGTAACCTAAAAGGAGCCTACCAAAATAATGAAATAAAACACATCTATGCCATCTCTTCTGCTGCCTTATCAGCAAGCTATAAAGCAGACACTGTTGCTAAGGTTCAGGGTGTGGAGTTTAGCCATCGGCTCAACACAGACATCGCTGGGCTGGCTTCAGCCATTGACATGAGCACAAACTATAATTCAGACTCACTGCATTTCAGCAATGTCTTCCGTTCTGTAATGGCCCCGTTTACCATGACCATCGATGCACATACAAATGGCAATGGGAAACTCGCTCTCTGGGGAGAACATACTGGGCAGCTGTATAGCAAATTCCTGTTGAAAGCAGAACCTCTGGCATTTACTTTCTCTCATGATTACAAAGGCTCCACAAGTCATCATCTCGTGTCTAGGAAAAGCATCAGTGCAGCTCTTGAACACAAAGTCAGTGCCCTGCTTACTCCAGCTGAGCAGACAGGCACCTGGAAACTCAAGACCCAATTTAACAACAATGAATACAGCCAGGACTTGGATGCTTACAACACTAAAGATAAAATTGGCGTGGAGCTTACTGGACGAACTCTGGCTGACCTAACTCTACTAGACTCCCCAATTAAAGTGCCACTTTTACTCAGTGAGCCCATCAATATCATTGATGCTTTAGAGATGAGAGATGCCGTTGAGAAGCCCCAAGAATTTACAATTGTTGCTTTTGTAAAGTATGATAAAAACCAAGATGTTCACTCCATTAACCTCCCATTTTTTGAGACCTTGCAAGAATATTTTGAGAGGAATCGACAAACCATTATAGTTGTACTGGAAAACGTACAGAGAAACCTGAAGCACATCAATATTGATCAATTTGTAAGAAAATACAGAGCAGCCCTGGGAAAACTCCCACAGCAAGCTAATGATTATCTGAATTCATTCAATTGGGAGAGACAAGTTTCACATGCCAAGGAGAAACTGACTGCTCTCACAAAAAAGTATAGAATTACAGAAAATGATATACAAATTGCATTAGATGATGCCAAAATCAACTTTAATGAAAAACTATCTCAACTGCAGACATATATGATACAATTTGATCAGTATATTAAAGATAGTTATGATTTACATGATTTGAAAATAGCTATTGCTAATATTATTGATGAAATCATTGAAAAATTAAAAAGTCTTGATGAGCACTATCATATCCGTGTAAATTTAGTAAAAACAATCCATGATCTACATTTGTTTATTGAAAATATTGATTTTAACAAAAGTGGAAGTAGTACTGCATCCTGGATTCAAAATGTGGATACTAAGTACCAAATCAGAATCCAGATACAAGAAAAACTGCAGCAGCTTAAGAGACACATACAGAATATAGACATCCAGCACCTAGCTGGAAAGTTAAAACAACACATTGAGGCTATTGATGTTAGAGTGCTTTTAGATCAATTGGGAACTACAATTTCATTTGAAAGAATAAATGACGTTCTTGAGCATGTCAAACACTTTGTTATAAATCTTATTGGGGATTTTGAAGTAGCTGAGAAAATCAATGCCTTCAGAGCCAAAGTCCATGAGTTAATCGAGAGGTATGAAGTAGACCAACAAATCCAGGTTTTAATGGATAAATTAGTAGAGTTGGCCCACCAATACAAGTTGAAGGAGACTATTCAGAAGCTAAGCAATGTCCTACAACAAGTTAAGATAAAAGATTACTTTGAGAAATTGGTTGGATTTATTGATGATGCTGTCAAGAAGCTTAATGAATTATCTTTTAAAACATTCATTGAAGATGTTAACAAATTCCTTGACATGTTGATAAAGAAATTAAAGTCATTTGATTACCACCAGTTTGTAGATGAAACCAATGACAAAATCCGTGAGGTGACTCAGAGACTCAATGGTGAAATTCAGGCTCTGGAACTACCACAAAAAGCTGAAGCATTAAAACTGTTTTTAGAGGAAACCAAGGCCACAGTTGCAGTGTATCTGGAAAGCCTACAGGACACCAAAATAACCTTAATCATCAATTGGTTACAGGAGGCTTTAAGTTCAGCATCTTTGGCTCACATGAAGGCCAAATTCCGAGAGACCCTAGAAGATACACGAGACCGAATGTATCAAATGGACATTCAGCAGGAACTTCAACGATACCTGTCTCTGGTAGGCCAGGTTTATAGCACACTTGTCACCTACATTTCTGATTGGTGGACTCTTGCTGCTAAGAACCTTACTGACTTTGCAGAGCAATATTCTATCCAAGATTGGGCTAAACGTATGAAAGCATTGGTAGAGCAAGGGTTCACTGTTCCTGAAATCAAGACCATCCTTGGGACCATGCCTGCCTTTGAAGTCAGTCTTCAGGCTCTTCAGAAAGCTACCTTCCAGACACCTGATTTTATAGTCCCCCTAACAGATTTGAGGATTCCATCAGTTCAGATAAACTTCAAAGACTTAAAAAATATAAAAATCCCATCCAGGTTTTCCACACCAGAATTTACCATCCTTAACACCTTCCACATTCCTTCCTTTACAATTGACTTTGTAGAAATGAAAGTAAAGATCATCAGAACCATTGACCAGATGCTGAACAGTGAGCTGCAGTGGCCCGTTCCAGATATATATCTCAGGGATCTGAAGGTGGAGGACATTCCTCTAGCGAGAATCACCCTGCCAGACTTCCGTTTACCAGAAATCGCAATTCCAGAATTCATAATCCCAACTCTCAACCTTAATGATTTTCAAGTTCCTGACCTTCACATACCAGAATTCCAGCTTCCCCACATCTCACACACAATTGAAGTACCTACTTTTGGCAAGCTATACAGTATTCTGAAAATCCAATCTCCTCTTTTCACATTAGATGCAAATGCTGACATAGGGAATGGAACCACCTCAGCAAACGAAGCAGGTATCGCAGCTTCCATCACTGCCAAAGGAGAGTCCAAATTAGAAGTTCTCAATTTTGATTTTCAAGCAAATGCACAACTCTCAAACCCTAAGATTAATCCGCTGGCTCTGAAGGAGTCAGTGAAGTTCTCCAGCAAGTACCTGAGAACGGAGCATGGGAGTGAAATGCTGTTTTTTGGAAATGCTATTGAGGGAAAATCAAACACAGTGGCAAGTTTACACACAGAAAAAAATACACTGGAGCTTAGTAATGGAGTGATTGTCAAGATAAACAATCAGCTTACCCTGGATAGCAACACTAAATACTTCCACAAATTGAACATCCCCAAACTGGACTTCTCTAGTCAGGCTGACCTGCGCAACGAGATCAAGACACTGTTGAAAGCTGGCCACATAGCATGGACTTCTTCTGGAAAAGGGTCATGGAAATGGGCCTGCCCCAGATTCTCAGATGAGGGAACACATGAATCACAAATTAGTTTCACCATAGAAGGACCCCTCACTTCCTTTGGACTGTCCAATAAGATCAATAGCAAACACCTAAGAGTAAACCAAAACTTGGTTTATGAATCTGGCTCCCTCAACTTTTCTAAACTTGAAATTCAATCACAAGTCGATTCCCAGCATGTGGGCCACAGTGTTCTAACTGCTAAAGGCATGGCACTGTTTGGAGAAGGGAAGGCAGAGTTTACTGGGAGGCATGATGCTCATTTAAATGGAAAGGTTATTGGAACTTTGAAAAATTCTCTTTTCTTTTCAGCCCAGCCATTTGAGATCACGGCATCCACAAACAATGAAGGGAATTTGAAAGTTCGTTTTCCATTAAGGTTAACAGGGAAGATAGACTTCCTGAATAACTATGCACTGTTTCTGAGTCCCAGTGCCCAGCAAGCAAGTTGGCAAGTAAGTGCTAGGTTCAATCAGTATAAGTACAACCAAAATTTCTCTGCTGGAAACAACGAGAACATTATGGAGGCCCATGTAGGAATAAATGGAGAAGCAAATCTGGATTTCTTAAACATTCCTTTAACAATTCCTGAAATGCGTCTACCTTACACAATAATCACAACTCCTCCACTGAAAGATTTCTCTCTATGGGAAAAAACAGGCTTGAAGGAATTCTTGAAAACGACAAAGCAATCATTTGATTTAAGTGTAAAAGCTCAGTATAAGAAAAACAAACACAGGCATTCCATCACAAATCCTTTGGCTGTGCTTTGTGAGTTTATCAGTCAGAGCATCAAATCCTTTGACAGGCATTTTGAAAAAAACAGAAACAATGCATTAGATTTTGTCACCAAATCCTATAATGAAACAAAAATTAAGTTTGATAAGTACAAAGCTGAAAAATCTCACGACGAGCTCCCCAGGACCTTTCAAATTCCTGGATACACTGTTCCAGTTGTCAATGTTGAAGTGTCTCCATTCACCATAGAGATGTCGGCATTCGGCTATGTGTTCCCAAAAGCAGTCAGCATGCCTAGTTTCTCCATCCTAGGTTCTGACGTCCGTGTGCCTTCATACACATTAATCCTGCCATCATTAGAGCTGCCAGTCCTTCATGTCCCTAGAAATCTCAAGCTTTCTCTTCCAGATTTCAAGGAATTGTGTACCATAAGCCATATTTTTATTCCTGCCATGGGCAATATTACCTATGATTTCTCCTTTAAATCAAGTGTCATCACACTGAATACCAATGCTGAACTTTTTAACCAGTCAGATATTGTTGCTCATCTCCTTTCTTCATCTTCATCTGTCATTGATGCACTGCAGTACAAATTAGAGGGCACCACAAGATTGACAAGAAAAAGGGGATTGAAGTTAGCCACAGCTCTGTCTCTGAGCAACAAATTTGTGGAGGGTAGTCATAACAGTACTGTGAGCTTAACCACGAAAAATATGGAAGTGTCAGTGGCAACAACCACAAAAGCCCAAATTCCAATTTTGAGAATGAATTTCAAGCAAGAACTTAATGGAAATACCAAGTCAAAACCTACTGTCTCTTCCTCCATGGAATTTAAGTATGATTTCAATTCTTCAATGCTGTACTCTACCGCTAAAGGAGCAGTTGACCACAAGCTTAGCTTGGAAAGCCTCACCTCTTACTTTTCCATTGAGTCATCTACCAAAGGAGATGTCAAGGGTTCGGTTCTTTCTCGGGAATATTCAGGAACTATTGCTAGTGAGGCCAACACTTACTTGAATTCCAAGAGCACACGGTCTTCAGTGAAGCTGCAGGGCACTTCCAAAATTGATGATATCTGGAACCTTGAAGTAAAAGAAAATTTTGCTGGAGAAGCCACACTCCAACGCATATATTCCCTCTGGGAGCACAGTACGAAAAACCACTTACAGCTAGAGGGCCTCTTTTTCACCAACGGAGAACATACAAGCAAAGCCACCCTGGAACTCTCTCCATGGCAAATGTCAGCTCTTGTTCAGGTCCATGCAAGTCAGCCCAGTTCCTTCCATGATTTCCCTGACCTTGGCCAGGAAGTGGCCCTGAATGCTAACACTAA
This sequence comes from Homo sapiens, assembly GCF_000001405.40. Taxonomy (NCBI): domain Eukaryota; kingdom Metazoa; phylum Chordata; class Mammalia; order Primates; family Hominidae; genus Homo; species Homo sapiens. The sequence continues at coordinate 56,655 of NW_025791767.1, read as the reverse complement.
GAACCAGAAGATCAGATGGAAAAATGAAGTCCGGATTCATTCTGGGTCTTTCCAGAGCCAGGTCGAGCTTTCCAATGACCAAGAAAAGGCACACCTTGACATTGCAGGATCCTTAGAAGGACACCTAAGGTTCCTCAAAAATATCATCCTACCAGTCTATGACAAGAGCTTATGGGATTTCCTAAAGCTGGATGTAACCACCAGCATTGGTAGGAGACAGCATCTTCGTGTTTCAACTGCCTTTGTGTACACCAAAAACCCCAATGGCTATTCATTCTCCATCCCTGTAAAAGTTTTGGCTGATAAATTCATTATTCCTGGGCTGAAACTAAATGATCTAAATTCAGTTCTTGTCATGCCTACGTTCCATGTCCCATTTACAGATCTTCAGGTTCCATCGTGCAAACTTGACTTCAGAGAAATACAAATCTATAAGAAGCTGAGAACTTCATCATTTGCCCTCAACCTACCAACACTCCCCGAGGTAAAATTCCCTGAAGTTGATGTGTTAACAAAATATTCTCAACCAGAAGACTCCTTGATTCCCTTTTTTGAGATAACCGTGCCTGAATCTCAGTTAACTGTGTCCCAGTTCACGCTTCCAAAAAGTGTTTCAGATGGCATTGCTGCTTTGGATCTAAATGCAGTAGCCAACAAGATCGCAGACTTTGAGTTGCCCACCATCATCGTGCCTGAGCAGACCATTGAGATTCCCTCCATTAAGTTCTCTGTACCTGCTGGAATTGTCATTCCTTCCTTTCAAGCACTGACTGCACGCTTTGAGGTAGACTCTCCCGTGTATAATGCCACTTGGAGTGCCAGTTTGAAAAACAAAGCAGATTATGTTGAAACAGTCCTGGATTCCACATGCAGCTCAACCGTACAGTTCCTAGAATATGAACTAAATGGTAAGAAATATCCTGCCTCCTCTCCTAGATACTGTATATTTTCAATGAGAGTTATGAGTAAATAATTATGTATTTAGTTGTGAGTAGATGTACAATTACTCAATGTCACAAAATTTTAAGTAAGAAAAGAGATACATGTATACCCTACACGTAAAAACCAAACTGTAGAAAATCTAGTGTCATTCAAGACAAACAGCTTTAAAGAAAATGGATTTTTCTGTAATTATTTTAGGACTAACAATGTCTTTTAACTATTTATTTTAAAATAAGTGTGAGCTGTACATTGCATATTTTAAACACAAGTGAAATATCTGGTTAGGATAGAATTCTCCCAGTTTTCACAATGAAAACATCAACGTCCTACTGTTATGAATCTAATAAAATACAAAATCTCTCCTATACAGTTTTGGGAACACACAAAATCGAAGATGGTACGTTAGCCTCTAAGACTAAAGGAACATTTGCACACCGTGACTTCAGTGCAGAATATGAAGAAGATGGCAAATATGAAGGACTTCAGTATGGAGCTTTTATTGAATTGAAACCTTATACCTTTTGAAAACTCATTGTGATTTTCTTCATCTCCATACCCCTTTCGTGATAGCTCATCTGTTTTTCTGCTTTCAGGGAATGGGAAGGAAAAGCGCACCTCAATATCAAAAGCCCAGCGTTCACCGATCTCCATCTGCGCTACCAGAAAGACAAGAAAGGCATCTCCACCTCAGCAGCCTCCCCAGCCGTAGGCACCGTGGGCATGGATATGGATGAAGATGACGACTTTTCTAAATGGAACTTCTACTACAGCCCTCAGGTAAATACCACCTAATGAGTGACACGCCCCCAAGAGCGAGTGGAGAATTGGGGCAGATACATTTAATTCAGGACCAAATATTCAGAGATTCCCCAAACTAGGTGAAAGACAGGCGGTAAGCAACTTCTTCTCTGAGGAAATATTCTCTAGAAAGTATTACAATGAGTCCTTGATTGATTTTAATGTTTAGATGCACACATGACATCCCATCAGCACTATTATTTATTAATTCTGGGCAAATCCAGGAAGATGAGGGTTATACCTCATCATCTAAATCATAGGCAAGCTCAGCCATAGGCAGGGTATATTTTTCAGAGAGGACTGGTTTCTGTAGTATTTAAAACTTTAAAATTCTTCCCCACAATAGAATTGCTAGATGAGATACATCAAATTCCTCTCATGTCATTTACAAGCTCTGCCAGGGCCAAATCAAGGGTGACATTACCAGAGGAGAAGACCAAACATGGTTCTATGACTGTTACTAAAAGTTTGTCATGGGCTTGGAGAATGCGTACTGATGTTGGGATTCTGGGTCTCTGCAGGGTGGGCTCCAACTTGCCTTTTTTGCTATTTCTTCTTTTCCTATCTGTCATTTCCTGACTCTTCTTCTCTCTCCTCTTCTTTCTCTTCCCCCCACTCCTCTTCCAGTTTTCAGTCCTAGGAAGGCTTTAATTTTAAGTGTCACAATGTAAATGACAAACAGCAAGCGTTTTTGTTAAATCCTTTCTGGGGCATGTGATAAAGAGAAATTAACAACAGTAGACTTATTTAACCATAAAACAAACACATGAACTGACATATGAAAGATAAATCCCTTTCAGTATATGAAAGATTCTCTGATCTTTATTTTTAACTGCTAATGAAGTTTTAGTGTACTATATTGTGTAATTGGAGTAATTGAAAACATGTTATTTTTTTTTTTCTCTCTGTTTAGTCCTCTCCAGATAAAAAACTCACCATATTCAAAACTGAGTTGAGGGTCCGGGAATCTGATGAGGAAACTCAGATCAAAGTTAATTGGGAAGAAGAGGCAGCTTCTGGCTTGCTAACCTCTCTGAAAGACAACGTGCCCAAGGCCACAGGGGTCCTTTATGATTATGTCAACAAGTACCACTGGGAACACACAGGGCTCACCCTGAGAGAAGTGTCTTCAAAGCTGAGAAGAAATCTGCAGAACAATGCTGAGTGGGTTTATCAAGGGGCCATTAGGCAAATTGATGATATCGACGTGAGGTTCCAGAAAGCAGCCAGTGGCACCACTGGGACCTACCAAGAGTGGAAGGACAAGGCCCAGAATCTGTACCAGGAACTGTTGACTCAGGAAGGCCAAGCCAGTTTCCAGGGACTCAAGGATAACGTGTTTGATGGCTTGGTACGAGTTACTCAAGAATTCCATATGAAAGTCAAGCATCTGATTGACTCACTCATTGATTTTCTGAACTTCCCCAGATTCCAGTTTCCGGGGAAACCTGGGATATACACTAGGGAGGAACTTTGCACTATGTTCATAAGGGAGGTAGGGACGGTACTGTCCCAGGTATATTCGAAAGTCCATAATGGTTCAGAAATACTGTTTTCCTATTTCCAAGACCTAGTGATTACACTTCCTTTCGAGTTAAGGAAACATAAACTAATAGATGTAATCTCGATGTATAGGGAACTGTTGAAAGATTTATCAAAAGAAGCCCAAGAGGTATTTAAAGCCATTCAGTCTCTCAAGACCACAGAGGTGCTACGTAATCTTCAGGACCTTTTACAATTCATTTTCCAACTAATAGAAGATAACATTAAACAGCTGAAAGAGATGAAATTTACTTATCTTATTAATTATATCCAAGATGAGATCAACACAATCTTCAGTGATTATATCCCATATGTTTTTAAATTGTTGAAAGAAAACCTATGCCTTAATCTTCATAAGTTCAATGAATTTATTCAAAACGAGCTTCAGGAAGCTTCTCAAGAGTTACAGCAGATCCATCAATACATTATGGCCCTTCGTGAAGAATATTTTGATCCAAGTATAGTTGGCTGGACAGTGAAATATTATGAACTTGAAGAAAAGATAGTCAGTCTGATCAAGAACCTGTTAGTTGCTCTTAAGGACTTCCATTCTGAATATATTGTCAGTGCCTCTAACTTTACTTCCCAACTCTCAAGTCAAGTTGAGCAATTTCTGCACAGAAATATTCAGGAATATCTTAGCATCCTTACCGATCCAGATGGAAAAGGGAAAGAGAAGATTGCAGAGCTTTCTGCCACTGCTCAGGAAATAATTAAAAGCCAGGCCATTGCGACGAAGAAAATAATTTCTGATTACCACCAGCAGTTTAGATATAAACTGCAAGATTTTTCAGACCAACTCTCTGATTACTATGAAAAATTTATTGCTGAATCCAAAAGATTGATTGACCTGTCCATTCAAAACTACCACACATTTCTGATATACATCACGGAGTTACTGAAAAAGCTGCAATCAACCACAGTCATGAACCCCTACATGAAGCTTGCTCCAGGAGAACTTACTATCATCCTCTAATTTTTTAAAAGAAATCTTCATTTATTCTTCTTTTCCAATTGAACTTTCACATAGCACAGAAAAAATTCAAACTGCCTATATTGATAAAACCATACAGTGAGCCAGCCTTGCAGTAGGCAGTAGACTATAAGCAGAAGCACATATGAACTGGACCTGCACCAAAGCTGGCACCAGGGCTCGGAAGGTCTCTGAACTCAGAAGGATGGCATTTTTTGCAAGTTAAAGAAAATCAGGATCTGAGTTATTTTGCTAAACTTGGGGGAGGAGGAACAAATAAATGGAGTCTTTATTGTGTATCATACCACTGAATGTGGCTCATTTGTATTGAAAGACAGTGAAACGAGGGCATTGATAAAATGTTCTGGCACAGCAAAACCTCTAGAACACATAGTGTGATTTAAGTAACAGAATAAAAATGGAAACGGAGAAATTATGGAGGGAAATATTTTGCAAAAATATTTAAAAAGATGAGGTAATTGTGTTTTTATAATTAAATATTTTATAATTAAAATATTTATAATTAAAATATTTATAATTAAATATTTTATAATTAAAATATTTATAATTAAATATTTTATAATTAAAGTATTTATAATTAAATATTTTATAATTAAAATATTTATAATTAAATATTTTATAATTAAAATATTTATAATTAAATATTTTATAATTAAAATATTTATAATTAAATATTTTATAATTAAAATGTTTATAATTAAATATTTTATAATTAAAATGTTTATAATTACATATTTTATAATTAAAATGTTTATAATTACATATTTTATAATTAAAATGTTTATAATTACATATTTTATAATTAAAATGTTTATAATTACATATTTTATAATTAAAATGTTTATAATTACATATTTTATAATTACATATTTTATAAAGTATTTATAATTACATATTTTATAATTAAAGTATTTATAATTACATATTTTATAATTAAAGTATTTATAATTACATATTTTATAATTCAATATTTTATAAATAGTTAAAAAGACGAGGAAAAAATTAAAAAGACGAGGTTATTGATCTCAGGAATTGTATTTGCCAAGTGAGAAGGAAAAAATATTCACAAAGGCTTGTACATACTTTGATCCTGAGGAACACCTCTGGTGTCTTCATGTGCCACATAGTCTTCCTCACTGACTGTCTGCCTTTGCAAGGCAAGGCTCTCCGGTAGGCCTCGAGATGAAATAACAAGTCCTTTATTTCACTCAGCCTGCCAGGAGTGGAGAAGGAATGGCTAGGGAGTCCTAGCCCCAGGGGCTTCATGGCAATACGGACCCCAGATGTCTCCCTGGAGCTCTGCCAGGATCCATTCAAGGCCAAGAAAGTATGATTGGGAGAGGAGGGGTGGAGATGTAGATTCCTAACAATTCTGTGACCCAGCATACATGTATGCTCTTTAGGCTCTTAAGCATCCTTATTTTTCCAAATATAATATCCAACAATCCCAAGTGTAGTAAAAACCCAAGGGTTTCTCCTGCCACATCCACTCACTTCAAACTCTGATTTTAAACACTGGCAATATCCAGTCAGAGCCTCCAAGCTGAGCTCTAGAAAGAGAAAGCTGCAAAAAACCTGTGCAACAAAACTTGCACTCATATTACTGACAAGGGTAGATATAAAACAGCGCATTCTTTTCCATGACACTGAAGAGCAAAGAAGAGTGTAACTTGGGGGCAATAAGAAATTGGAGGTCACCACCTCCCAAATCCTACATGAGGTCTATTTGGAAAAGACCTCCTTTTTTAATTCAAAAATCCTTCAACCTCCACCATTCTTTCATAAAGCTTCACATTCTCTTGGTGAAGCCCACTGTTAAAATGCACAGGCGTTACCTGGAAAAGGAAACACATAGCCTTAACAATATTCTTCTGTACTGAACTGAAGAGTGAGAAAGAGTCTATGGAGCTATAATACGGTAGTGTATGAATCTGGTACTCAAGGAAAGTCTGTTGGATAATGGATGGATGGATGGATGGATGGATGGGTGGGTGAGCGAATAAATGAGTGGATAAATGAGGGGTCAGTTTTGAGAGTGAGAGAAACATGGAAATTAGACTCAAATCCCAAGGCACCACATGGAATAGTTCCAGGAATAGTTCTGCAAGAGTTTCCCTGATGAGCTATAAGCAGCAAAAATTTAGTGAGTGTTCAAACTGAAAGGAGGCCTGGAATTGTGGCTTAATTTGGAGGGAAAGAGGGAGTCCAAGATTCCCAGTGCTTATTTGTTGATATCTATCTAGTGCTGAAAAGAAAAAAAAATAGCCACAAATCCAAAATGATTGTGCAGTCACATGGTACCCACTGCCCAGTTCCTTGACCAGTGTCCCTCATACAAAGGGCCCCTGATGAGCTCAGAATGTCTTTGTTGTACTGAATAAAGTTTGAAGAACAAGGGATCCTTGTGGGGACTTGGACTTTGCCTGCTCCCTTCTTAGGTCTTCTACTGCATATCTGGATACTTCTCTGGTTCAATTAATAGCTACATTTTTTATTTGCTTGTACTCAGTGCAACTTATTTCACCTCTGCAAGCCTCAGTTCTCTTACCTATGAAATGGAGATAATATCTATCCTGCCTGCCTTGCAGGACTTTTCATGAAAATCAGTTGAAATAACATATATGAGAGTTCTGCAACCTTTAATGTCCTGTAGAGAAAAGCTGCCATTATCATTAGATGATTATTAAAATGACGTTATGGCAAGAAGAAAGAATGGAGGCAGGGCTACGTGTCTGGTTCAGTGTGCATTGATAAAACACCTCTATGTGTAAGGCACTGTGCAGTGGCTCTATAGAGGAGACAGAGATCAATAAGATGCAGTTCCTGGAGGTCTGTCTGCCCATTTATCTGTCAAAGGTGAAACGTGTTTTCTCATGGTGGATATAACCAAAGTACTATGAGGGATTTAAAAGAGGAAAGTTGTGAATCAGGGGATTTTTATAGAAAAGATTGAAATGGATCTCGAATATACATTGACTTTAATAAACAGATGAGAGAGAGGGTGGTCTAGGAAGAAGACGAGTAAAGAATGATAGTTGGGTGTGTTGTAAGGACACTGGATTATCTAGTTTAGCCAAAGCACAGGAAAGGTAAGGAGAGAGGACTGGAAAGGCAGATCTATAGTACTGCAGAGGGCTCGAATGTCAGAGTAAAAAGATGACACTCTCTTTGCTGAAGGACATCCAGTAAAAGTTTTTGAGCAGAAGGGTGACATGCATTGTGATTTCGGAAAACCAACATGACAACCTATAGATAATGAATTGTAATGGGGTGAATCTGGATATGAGTGTATTAGTCCGTTCTGGCATTGCTATAAAGAAATACTGAGACTGGGTAATTTAAAAAGAAAAGAGGTTTAATCAGCTTATGGTTCCTCAGGCAGTACAGAAAGCATGACTGGGGAGGCCTCAGGAAAGTTATAATCATGGCAGAAGTTAAAGGGGAAGTAGGCACAACCTACATGGCTGGAACAGGAGGAAGTGTGGGGAGGTGCTACACACTTTTAAACAACCAGATCTCATGATAACTCACTCACTATCACGAGAACATCACCAAAGGAGAAATCCGCCCCCATGATCCAGTCACCTCCCACCAGGCCCCACCTCCATCATTGTGGATTACAATTTGACGTGAGATTTGGGTGGGGACACAGACCCAAACCACATCTATGAGGTTGTGCCAGGGTCCAAGTAACAGATGAGGAGCACCTCAGTCAAGTCCTAGGGTTGGGAATGGTGAGGAGGGTAGGATAGAAGAAGATTGGGAAGGCAGAATTGACAGAATCAGGTGGCTGATTGAGTAAAACACAAAGGATGGGTGCAAAAGCTCTTAGAAATGGAGTTGCCTTGGTAAGTCACTGAAGCCGGGAACTGGAGGGGTTGCAGGAGAGAGAGAGAGGAACATAGGAACAAGGAAGAATAGGTAAAGCAGACTTCAGAGTTAGGAAATTCCGAACCTGTGTAACTTGAAGGACTATGGAGCCTCAGTAGAAATGGGAGGAATGTGTTGAGTGGGAGATTATTAGTATAAGACATGGACTCATTGACTATCACAGCTGGAATGGGACTACTGGATCACATAGTGAGTTTCCATTTGCAATCATGTGTCTAAGCAGAGATATCTAGCAGGCCAGTTGGAAATGTGGGCTAGAGAAACAATATCCAAAGGAGTAGGGAAAAATGAGGATTTTAACCAATAATTGCATTAATTTTATGTTTGTATAAGTATCTTTAGAAACTTAACAAGAAAACAAAGAGTTTTTCCTTTTGTACAGTTAATTGCCCTATTGTCCTGGGAGTAAGTCAACAGGTACATCTGCTAAGAACATACTGTGAGGTGACGTGGAAAGTCCTGCTATAAATACAGATATTCCTCCCATTAAACAAATATCTAAAGTTTTCAACCAAAGGAGAAATCAAATAATGGAGCCCAGCCCAAGTCCCTGGGGCTTCAGAAGCATGATCAAGCTGTGTGCTTTGGTTTGACTCCCAGGTCCCGCCTAGAGTAGTGGTGCTGTCCTCAGGATAAACCTGATAAGAAATGGGTCCAATGGGACTCAGCACCACCAGATGTCTTCAGAGCTACCTCCATTTTCTTCTGCTTTTTACTTGAAGCCCGGTCAGTTGAATAGCTCAATTCCCCTTTTTTGGTGAGTTGAGCAAAGCCCCCTCTAACTCCCTATTCTAGGTCCCCTTCTGAATCTAATTTATGACTTAGTCCCAATTCAGTCAGAGAAGGGGCCAAGCTGGCCCTCAAATGGGGCCTGCAATATGGGAGCCAGAGTGGACAAACAGATGTTCCCTCTAAAAGTGTCTAATAACCAGAGATAAATGTGCAGAAACAGACCCTACCTCTTAGCTCATCTCCTTGTATGCTGTTTCACATTAAGAGGTCAGCTGTAACTCCCTTCAGAGTGCTCCATTTGTTGGTGGGATGGTTGGGTGGTCACCAACAAATAACATTCCAGGGCCTCATAAAAGTTGGTGGAGTAGGTGCACATGTTTCCACAAGGAGAGGGCCCTGCCTTTATTCTGCTACATAGACTGGCTCATGCCTTCCCCAGATCTGAGCAGTGCTTCAAGTCAACAATGCCAGGGCACTAGGCGCTAACACTGACACTTGTGTCCATTTTACTCCCTGGACTGACACCACCAAAGCCCATTCTTGGGGTGAGAGGGATGACTCAGGCCTTGAAGGTGGACTGGTTCATGAACTGAAGACCTGTGTCCCCACCCTTGTTTTTAAACTGTGGCTTGGGCTGTCAGCTGTGCAGCATGAACACCAAACCACAGTGAGCAGAGGCATCCAGAGTTTAGATTCTAACCCAGAAACAGTGCCTAAGGAAAGCACAGCTGGACCAATAGCCCAGCTCCACCAATTCTCTCTCCATTCCTCTGCTTTTTCATCAGGTGGGGCTCATCCAGGCTGGTGCCAAGGTCTTTCTGGAGTAATGGAGCTCAGTATAGCTCCAGGAGACCTAAAGCCTTTGAAGTGGGATCAGAGCTAGAGTCATTAGAACATTTCTATAATCACATGGGATGTTGGATGATCCTGGAAAGAACAATAGAGAGGGCCGACTGCTGCCCCATAGCTCTGTTGAGCTGAGGCTGGGAACCAAGGCAGTCAATACTTCCCTCCTCTCAAAAGAAGTCCCCGCTCTCAAATTCAAGCTTCATCATTCATGAGTTATTTAACTTCAGAAAAGTCACTTGAGTTTCCTAACCTTCAGTTTTCATCATTAAAATGGAGATCAATGAGAAAAATAGGTTAAGCAACTCTGAGCAGGAGGAGAAAGTGGCCCCATCTTATGTTACAGAGTTGTTACAAAGATTAAATGAGGTTAACATACATGGAGCCTGGCAAACAGCGAATGAATGCATCGATGGTTTTCTATTGACAGAAGTCAAAATAAATGACGTACAATTACAATTATACTCAACTACTTAGAGGAATCTGACCACAACATAATAGGGAATAAGAATGCAAGTCCTGGAAGATGAAATGCAGTGCCAGACTCTTTTGGGTTTTTTGGTTTGTGTTTGTTTTTATTTTTGTTTTTGTTTGTTTGTTTATTTGTTTGAGACGGAGTCTTGCTCTGTTACCAGGTTGGAGTGCAGTGGCGCCATCTTGGCTCACTGCAACCTCCGCCTCCCAGGTTCAAGCGATTCCCCTACCTCAGCCTCCAGAGTAGCTGGGATTACTGGCATGTGCCACCACGCCCGGCTAATTTTTTGTATTTTAGTAGAGATGGGGTTTCACCACATTGGCCAGGATGGTCTTGATCTCCTGACCTCATGATCCATCCACCTCAGCCTCCCAAAGTGCTGGGATTACAGGCATGAGCCACTGAGCCCGGCTGCCAGACTCTTTTAATATAGTTAAAATCAAGAACAAAATGCTTTGTTTTCTAGGATTATAGTTTTGAAGCCAGGGAATGCTAAACTCAACATTCCGGATAGGTTACGATCTGGTGGGGAGAGGCAGGGAAGGGAGGGTGAGGACTCATGGGTCAACGTGGGTGACCCTCATGCCCTCATTCTCATGCTGGAGGGTGAGTTTGTAGGTGCTTATGGCACTACTAATTGACTTAGTTATATTATGTATTTAATGAATTAAAACAAAGGAGAAAAAGGTAAAGCCTTTAAGTGCATGGCTTTTATGAAGCACTTAAATGATTTCGTGCTTCCTTCTCCTCTTCACCTGAGATTTTTGGACAGATGAAATCTTCCTTCTCAAGGCAAAATTATTGCTTCAGTAGCTATTTGTTAAGCCCCTTCTCTAGGCCAGGCATTCTCCTAAGCATTCAGGGCAGAGAAATAAACAAGGCACTGATGTAGGAGGCTGGACATGGTGTTCAATCTGGGAGGGGCCCAAATGAGGAGGACTTATAGGGATTCTGGGATCACGGAGACAGAAGAGGCAGGAGGTCACAGAGCACACTTGGGAGACAGACGTGGGTGTGAGTTCCAAGTGTGCCACTCGCCAGCCATGGGGTCCTGGGACAGTCACTTCACCTCTCTGTTCATCAGTTACTTCATCTGTAAAATGGGAACTCAGAGAACAATAACATGCTCCAGATGAACTGAATGAGCCCGGGTCCTTCTATACCATCTAAGCTTTTCGCCTCTGTGACCGTTTCTTTTTATTCTCTATACAAAAATCCTCCAAGGCCCAGCAAAGAATGTCTCTTAGTCCTTGAAGACCCCCCGATCCCTGCTGAAGCACACCCAGGCCACGTGCTTGCCTTGATCTAGTTGTCCTCGCCTGTGTCACTCCCCAGGCCAAACTGAAATCAACCAGGCCCTTCCAAGGGGCTTCCCCTGAGGTCTCGTCAGTTTTCCTCCATGTCTCACCTAGTGGCTGGGTAATTGAAGGGCCTCCTCTTGGGGATTCCCTGAGTTTGCTGAAAACAATCATTCCCTTGCATGGATGCCTCTGAGACAACTCACTCAGCACTGGTGTGTGCTGCCGTCCTCTGACTGGCTAAGCACACACACTAAAGTGGCATTTCTAGGCTTGTTCTCTCAGAAAAAGGTTTGGATGGGAGATGGAAGGGGCTGCAGTTTCATGAGGCTGACTGAGGGCTTGCTGTCATGCTCTATTGAGTGGGTTTAGCCTCCACCTCTGCCTCCCCGTCCCGGGCACCCTGCCTCCCCACTCACAGGTCTGGCTGCCCATGCAGGGCTGACTCTTTCCTATGACAGGTACAGAGATAAGCCGTGGATGCAGGGTCTCCCCCTCAGCTCTGTGAATGGGGCAAAGCCATGATGCTGGGACGGAGTGCACATACAACCTCAACTCCCCAATAATACCAGAGGCAGAGAGTCATCCAAACATAGGACTAGCCCGCCCCTAGACTCCCCTTTCCTTCTCCAGACTCCCTGGGGCAGTAGGGGGCTGAGTCCTTGGGGGAGTGTAGGGGATAGAGTTTAAAGATAATTTCTCTGCTGCAAAAAAGAGGCACTTGTAAGCTAATTTCTGAACAAAACACAGCCCTGTCTCACTTTACGCGCTCACCATATCCTGTAAAGTTTGGGCATTTCCTTGAATAAATCAAAGAATATTTGAAATTTACAATATAAGATAACCTGATGGAGAATATTCCTGTAAAACAAAGTTTCCTCTTACCCTGTGAACCATTTTACCTAAAATGAGTCTTCTTTGCATGTCAGGATTTTTTGATGGAATTTTCTTAAATCAGGTTGGCCCTGAGCCAAGTCCTACTGAGGCCACTGGAAGATGGTGTGGAACAAAGGCACCGGGTGGCAGGAAGGATTTGACTCTGCTGTTCCCAAAACCCTTCTAGCCTGGGAAATAATCAATCAGGAGAAATCAAGGCAGTTCCTTGGCTTGTGCATGCAATGCATTTCTCTCACACTCACCCGAGATGGGCAAGGGAGCAAGAGATGTTTCTGTCACCTCATCCTTACTGACACATGCAGAGGGCAACATTTCCCTGGAGAGTCAGTCCCTGAGCCAGGCTCCACTCTCGCCTCCAGTGCAGGCTCCTCCTGCCACTTCGCATCACTCCATGCTCTGCTGCCCACTCTCAGGTGTGGCTTACTCCCTTTCCCCTCCTATGTAGGGGCACATCCTCCCCTGACTCTCTACAGAAACATTCAAGGTCCTCTCAAGTGCCACCTCCTCCAGGAAGTCCACTATGCAAGCTACACACTCTGATCTGCGGGCCCTTTCCTCAGTATGGGAATGAGTGTCTCTGTCCACTCTCACTCCAGTGTGAGGACAGGATTTGGTTGCATTCCCCCAGGAAGGTACAATGGCACACTCCAGCCCCAGAGGTGGCCTTGCATGGGGCCAGCCACAATTTAGCAGCCTGCAAATGCAGTCGAGTTTCCTCTTCAGCACCTTTGCTAACTGAGCTGTTGTGTAAAGAGTAGGTGAGGTGGTAAAGAGCTTGGACTTGAAGATTCGCAGACCTGAGTTCCAGTCCCAGCTCTGCCTCAGTGGTACCCTGTTGCATCACTTCCCTAAGCCCCCATTTCTTCATCTTGCAAAATAGCCCTCTCACAGGAGCACCTGGTGAACGCCGAAGGCATTGTATACCCAGAGCCCGGCACACTGCCCAGCACACAGTAGGTGCTCAGGAAAAGTGTGTGGAATGCCTGAATTATGGTCTGGAGTTCACGCATTCCTGAGCCAAGTAGTCACAGCCCCAGGGCTGTGTCCCGAGTCTGCCTGGCTTTGACTCCAGGAACAAGCTTGCTCAGCCACTGGTCCAGCACAGGCCAGCTCTCTGCACTATCTTGTTTCTTGCAGAAACTTTCTCTTCCTGGACAGAACACACGCTTTCTGTCAGCTTTTATTTCTGTGATGGCTTGCTTACGAGCAGGGCATTCTGTTCTAGGAATTTCTTGTTAAAATATTTCATTTAATTAAGTTTTTACAACCAGCTCTGCTTTGTGTCTGTCAGAAGGTAGGGGCCAGTGCAGACCTACCCTCAGCTCTCTGGGAGGCCAGGTCACAGAGACTCCGGGGAGAACAAACCCAGGCCTGAAGGCTGCATTCCTGGATCTCCAGGAATTCTCATCTACCCCAAAAGAGACGGGTTTGTCAGAAGATGCATCCCCACAACAGGCCCACTGGAGACAGAGGTACCACGAAGAATGTTGCCTGTCCCCACTCCATTGGGGTCTCTCAGCCTAGGGACTGCTCTGTGTCCGAGCCCAAAACAGTCCAGAGCAAGCGTGCTGTGCATTATTACAGCCTCCGCTTCGCATCCCCCGAAACTCCACCCAAGGCCCACACCTTGGCCTGTTCCTTCCCAGAACCCTTCCTCACCCTGTTTCTCTGGCCTGTTCATGCCCTGCTCAGGCCCTCCTTCCTGGGAGCCCTCCCCACCCCTCCATTACCTGCTCTCCTCCAGCCATGCTCCAAGCGGAGATTATACCTCCTTGCCCAACCCCATAGTCTTTCCACCTTCTCACCCTCAACCTTTGCACACTTCTGGGCCACAGCTGGGACACCTGTCTCCTCCACAGGCCAGGCTCCAGCCTTGCTAAGGAGGCCTCAGGAGGTGCTAAGCTCAACTGAGCATGTTGGTCCTTTTCCCACAGAGCCCAGCTGCCACCTGTCAGGAATTTGTGGTAATGGACGTGACAGAAAGTGTCCTTCTTCCCCACTTGTACCTTAAAAGGGTACAGACTATGTGTGCCTAGCAGGCAGAATATCAGGCCACTTGGAACAAGGTAGTGTGAGAGGGCCTGGGTGAGCAGGTGAGAAGGGAGTCTTGTGCAGGGATGTGGCTGCACTCAGTGCCCAGCACAGAGTCTTGGGAAATTTTCTTAGCACAGCAAACAAACTGCCTCCCTGTGAGTCTCCCAGTCTGGTGGAAAGCCGGGGGACCACCTTAAGGGGATACAGGAGGTGGGCTCTCATGGCCCATCCAAGGCTGTCCCCTGACCTGTCACAGGGTGGCTCTGGAGGCTGAGCGCTGCCTTCATGGGCTCCTTCCTCCCAGCAGGAGGTCTCCCAACTCCGCCCTGTACCTGGCCTAAGGGAACCACCGTGGCCCCTGGATAACTCCAGGCTCCTGGTGGCGTTGCTAAGAGGCCGGCTGCCACCTGTCAGGAATTTTTGGTCAGGGATGTGGCAGAATGTGCTGTTTTCCCACACTCGTATTTTAAAAGGTTACAGACCATGTGTGCATAATAGGCAGAACATTAGGTCACTTGTCTCACTTAGAACAATAATCCGTTTTGCTAGGGGTCAGGTTGACACAAAGAATCTGTCCAGACCAGGTCTCTTGATGGGACTTAGCCCTCCCCTCAAACTAATGAAATTTTCAACTCGTGGGTACTTGAGTTAATAAAGTGTGCCACACATCTGCTGGCAGAAGAAAGCCCTGGGGTTCAATTTTGAGATCACTGACATAATGTTTGAGTGGCTTCCTGCTGGCGCCCGGCGGGACACCAAATTAAGGAAAGCTGCACAATGAATGTGTGAGAAAAAACATTAGTGTATAAACACAGAGGCCAAGGAACCCTGAGGGGAGCGTGAGCGAGGGGAGGCCATGGAATTACAGAGGGAGGGTCGGCGGGGGCTGCCGCTGGGATTTCACGCCAGTGGCCCACAGGTAGAGAATTATTTTAAAGGAAATTGGCACCAACATGATCTTAGGTCAAAACGATGAAAAAACTAAAACCAGCATATTTTCAATGACTGTTGAATTAAGTGCTAAAGTATAATGTGAGTGGTTCAGAATGAAACAGAGAGCGGGAGGTGAGACTGTCAGACAGCCCCAGGAAAGGTTCCGTTCCAGGTCTGGAAACCCCTGAGAATCCAGACCCTTGGGCCTCTCCTCTGTCACTGCTCAGGCTAGGACGAGACCAGGACTGCTCAGGGACAGGAGGAAGGAGCCCATTGCCCACTGAGATGGAAACTCTCCACTGGCTTTTCCAGCTGTTCACACAGAGAAAAGCAACCTTCCAGTCCTTCAGCGTGTGAAAAGCCTGATGAGCTCTCCTTTCTGGTCACTTACAGACTCTGAAGAGGAAAGGGAAAGAGGATGGCCCTGATTATCTGTGTCTTCCCTCGGGGAGCAGGTGGAGGCCTTCTTCCTGCCATGGCCTGCCTCCCAGGAAACTCCACTGTGCTGCTTTGAGGATCAGACGCTGAGGTCAGTGTAAACCAAGGCTGGACCAGGAGAGCCCTTCCCCAAAAGCTGAAGAGTGAAGGGTGCTGGTCAGGGCTCAGGCTTCCTCCTGACACATTCCTGCAGCACCACCAGAATAGTCCTGTGTCCCCCAGACACAGATCTAGAGATCTATGGGGACTGGTAAAGGCCATACCTAACTCCTCCAGGCATGGCCAGCCCTCTGCCCCAGGCAAGCTCTGCTGGGACAGTAAGGTCAGAGTAGGGAGACCCCTGGTCACTTTTCCTTAGTTTTTCTTGTTCCCTCAATACATCACCTCCAGTCCCTATCATGAACCTTGGGGGCACACAGAGGAGCTGAGGGAGGTGAATACATGAGGATAAGCAAATGAGCTCAACACAGCTCTCTGTTCAGTGCCGCACACAGGAAGGGGCTCTGTGGCCAGCCCCAGCTGGCAGGATCCCTGCCCCCTGAGCAGCTGCCAGCCCTTCTGACATCTGGGGAAAAGGGCTCAGCAGATGTGCCTCCAGGGCTTTGGCAGAAGCCAGACCCCTTCCCTTTCTTTTCTCAGTGGGATGCCACCCCTTCACTCACTTCCTTGCCCCAAAAAGGCTCCCAGAGGCCCCCTCCTCTGGGACCCCCAATCTCCCAACCTGCAGACCTCCCCCTTCTCTAAGCCAACTGCCCTCTTTCCTCCTATTAGTTTGTCCCGTGCCCTCCCTTGGCTGGGCCTGGGTTTCACGGGTCTCATCCCTTCCATAGCCCATGACTGGGGTCCCAAGCTCCTGGCAGGGGCTCAACATAACCCTGTTGATCAACTTCAGGGCAGAATTGGTCCCAACCACACATCTTCATGGATGCCAGGAGCCAGTGCTTCAAGGGAAGGCTGTGCTCCCTTCCCATCCCTTTCTCCGTGAGAACTCAGCAAGTGAGTGAGGAAAGGCAGGGTGAGGCGGGGCCAGTCCCCAGGAGGGGCCATGCTGTGATTGATGATGCCCTGGCGTTCTCCAGAGGCTCACCAGGCAACTGAGTGTGGCTGCTGGCTGAGGAATGCAGAGTGAGTGGCCCAGGCCCTCCTCGAAGCTCCAGGGCTGTTCTCTTTGCCTGGAGAAAATGTCCTTGCTCACAGTTTCCCAGCATTCAGCCCAAATCTCACCAAGGGAAAGAGGCTGTGTCCTTCTGTCCCAGCCTCCAACTGAGAACACGAAAAGAACAGACTCCAGGCCCAACTGCCTGAGTTCTAATTCCAGCTCTCTTGTGCACTTAGGGGTAACCTTGGACAGGTTAGGGAGCTGTTCTGTGCCTCCACTTCTGCATATATAAAACGGGAATAATCATTGCACTACCTCAGAGGGTTCTGGTGAAGACTTAGAAGTTCATTGTGTAAACTTCTCAGACTAGTGTCATGCAATGTAAATGCTGCCCAAGTGCTTTTATCTGATCATCCCTGAGTACCCATCAAACACCTCTACCTCTCTCACCATCTCCTAAAGTCGCAATAGGTTTCTGTCATGTTTGGTACCTGATGCTGGGAAGCTTATGTCTCTGTTGAGTTTCTGCCTCTGCCATACATACTTAAGGGCAGCATGTATGCAGGCCTCAAAATGTGGGGAGGAGGTTTCTCAGGGGACCAGGCCGGCATAGCCTGCTAACCTGGACAAGCCATGCCGCTGTTCCATCCACCAGGGAAGAGGTCCAGTGATGCCCTCTTTTCTCCTCTCCCACCCTGAAGTCACTCAAAGCCCAAATCCCTGGAGGGTGTCTGCCACAGCACACGTGTGATGAACAGGAGCAAGTTATCAGTCTTCAACAACAACCTACACATCTATTGAAAGTAATGAAATGCACATCATCCGGCACTGATGTCTCTCCAAGTCCCAAAGTCGGCTGTGCAGCCCAGGGCTCAGCAACGTGGGGAGGCCATTCCCAGCTGGAGGTTGCTCATGCCTCAGTGGGCCCGCAGGTCGCAGCCCCAGGGAGGCCTGAGGTCAGGCCCCCATCACACCTCCACAGACCACATCAGTCTCATCTGTGCAAATAAACAATAGGACCGAGTGATCTCTAAAGGCCTTCAGATTCTGGCAGACTTCAGAGGGGAGCCCCTATAGTATCATCATTACCATCACCGTCATCATCAGGAGTAATTTAACAGAGCTCAGCTCCAGATCACTTCTTGCAAGGCCATGTTAATAGTGCTGCAACAAATGCATAGTAACATCCTGTGTCTTTATTTTACAGACGGGGAAACTGAGACTCAAAAAGGTTAAGTAGCTTCACTTTTAAAACTTATGAACAGCCGAGTAGGCATAAACTCCAGATCTGTGTGATCTCCAAAATCATACCTGGAAACATTCACTGTGCCATTTTATAATAAAACTGATGACACCAATAATAGTAACAACTTCCACGTGCCAGGCACACCATATGGGTGTAAGCTTATTTCACCCTTACACCAACCTTATACAAAGGTAGGTATGATCATCCCAATTTTTCAGGGGGATTAAATAACTTGTCTAGAGCCAACAGAGTACTCTAACTTGTCAAATTCAATTGTGTCATTCCTTTTGTTGAAAATCAAACATTAACCGGCACACATCTTCCTAATCACTTACCCAGGTTTATTTCTGAGGACAGAAGGACTGATATTCTTCCAATTAGCACAAGGAAGGCCATGCCAGCCGTTAAAGTATTGAAGTACTTTTGGACCAATTCGTATATAGGGGCTGCCCCCCAAGCTCCCCAAACTCTCACACATACCCCAGTCATTCCGGCTTCTCCCGCAGGACCCTCTGGCCTCCCAGGACTCCAGCCAATGCTGAGTTACTGACAGTGTTTATTCTGATTGGTCAGTGACTGTGGTAGGCTGGGTACTAAACATCCTGAGTAGGGCCCTTGGTAATGGTAACCGAAGCATATAGACACAGGCATATAGGTGTACACATTACATTGACTCCTGGCCCAACACATGCACACGGAGGACACAGAAATGCAGAAACACCTACATACAGACACAGGCTTGTGCACACACACACAAACACATGCACGTGCAGATACACATATCTGCATAAATGTATGCATGCATGCACACATACATGAACAGATGCACCCCCCCATGTCCACATGCACACATACATGAACACATGCATACCCCCAGTGTCCTCCAAATTTCAACAGTTTGGTCCTAAGACAGGAAGAGCCACCCCACAGACCTGCTCAGGAGACAGAGGGTTCCAAAGAGCTCAGCACACAAAAAGCACTGCACTAGAAGTCTAGCAACAAGACTCTAGCTTGTTACATGACCTTGCGCAAGTCAGAGCTATGGCACTGCAGGCGCAAAAAGATTTACAGCATGGCTTAACCTCTCCAAGGGTGAAACAGAATCATAGTCCCCATGTGCCAAGATCCTCGTGGTGTTTCTGTGAGATGCCAGTGCTTTGTCATCCCCATGTTCTCCTCCCTGCCTTTCGTCCTCCCTGGGAAAAAAGCAATAGAAAGGAGGGCTCCAGATGGACAGAGAAGGGCGAGCAGGGGAGCAGGGGTCTCTTGCTCCACACTAGAGTGGGAAACAGAAACTGAGCCAGCACCTCCCTAATCCTCCACTTGGTCTCTTTTGCCCAAAGTGAGGTCCAGACTATGAGGATTCAAGAATGTGCCTCACAGGCATCCCAGGATCCCAGCTCCTTATTAAACATTTCCATACTCATTTGGGCACAATCAGAATTTTTTAATCATCTCCTGAGCATCAATTTATGGGGATAGATCATTTCCAGATGTGATTCAACATACCAAGAAAAAAACTGCACTCATTGATTAACAAATGATTTCTAGATGGAGAATACATGTGGCCAGCAATTTGCAGTGGAAATTCTTGCATCCAGTTTTTTTTTTGTTTTTTTTTTTTTGAGTGGTGGAGAAGCCAGGAATCTCCCTGGCCTAGCTTGTCTCTTTTATGCAGAGGTTTCTTCCCCAGGCTGAGTCCAAATGCATCTGCTTTTGACCAGATCAAACAGGAGCTGAGAAAGAACATTGGCCTTTACCAGATCCTCCCTCTTTCTTCTACCCTCCTTTTGCTGGTGATTTCTCATGACCCCCATGCTTTGAGCTGAGAGTTTGAGCAAATCATACAAAGGGAAAGAATTCTTAGCTGCCAATCCAAAGACGGCTGTCTAGTCTATACCTTCGGCAACTGCTCAAGTGACCTGCAGCAATGTTGGCACTAAGAAAGCCTCACCTGTCTGTTTCTACTCATTATTCATTTCTACTCATATTCTACTCATTATTCATCTACTCATTACTCATTATTCTACTCATTATTCATTATTCATTGTGCCCCAATCCATGGAAGACATTGCTAATTGAGGACTGCACAACTTTCCCAGAGATCCTTCATTGGATGTGCTAGGCACCCACTAAAAATCTGCTCCTGTCTCAAGGATTCAAGTCTGGGTGAGACTTGGTGTCCTTAGCCTGGGCTGACAATTCAGTGGAGGAGCTACTTCCAGGTGCACCTGCTACAGAAGACAGCATGAAAGCAAAGCCTTCCTGGGCAGAGTCTTGGGATTCCAGAAAGAGAGGAATTAAGGTTGGCATTTGGGCTCTGATATAGGAACTTAGCTGTTCAAAGAGGGATGTGCCCATCCTAGAACAAAAATAAAGAGAACTTGGCAGAATGATCCAGATTTTGTCAAAGCCACTAGAGTTTTAGTTCTGGCCACACTTCAGCAGCAGTCTCCTGTCCACGTGGGGATCGTTTTGCTGCTTTTCTTGGCTTTTCCGAGCCCCTGCAGTTCCCCTAGATGCTCCACATTCCATTAGTTAATTGGTTTGTTCCTTCTACTCTGTGCATAGCAGAGATCACATGACATTCGCACTGTTCTCAACCCTCTTTCAAAGGGTATCAGTTCCTCCAACAACCATAAGTGATTCTCAGTTCTTGGGTGTTTTACTGGGCCCCTGGAAGGGCGAAGGTGCCTATCAAAAAGGAAAACATCTGTATCTTGGGATGCAACCAAGCCACAACTTAATTTTCTCCTCTGGCTGTACTTTTTTTTTTTTTTTTTTAGTCAGAGTCTCCCTCTGTCGCCCAGGCTGGAGCGCAGTGGCCCAATCTCAGCTGACTGAAAGCCCGCCTCCCGGGTTCATGCCATTCTCCTGCCTCAGCCTCCCAAGTAGCTGGAACTATAGGTGTCCGCCACCACGCCCGGCTAATTTTTTGTATTTTTAGTAGAGACGGGGTTTCTCTGTGTTAGCCAGGATGGTCTCGATTTCCTGACCTCGTGATCCGCCTGCCTCGGCCTCCCAAAGTGGTGGATTACAGGTGTGAGCCACCACACCCAGCCGTAGTTCTTGAGAAGTAACAAAAATGGGGCTGGGGTGTCCTTGTCTCTGATAAACAGGTCACACTCTGTAGCTGGATAAACAAAGTGCTTGGCTGAAAATAAGATGTTTTTTGGCTGGCGTCTCCAAAACGTGACAGATTCTTCATGGATCTGTTATTTAAAGCATGCAGCTAGCTCTCCCTGCCTCCATGCGCTGCCTATACCAGACGTTGAGAATCAAGCAGAGTGCAAATGTAGCACCAGCAATGTTGACACTAAGAAAGCTAATGCTTTTTGAGTACATTCGAGGAGCAGTATTTTGTCTGCATTTTTTCCCTTCAATCTTTAGCGCAACCGTCTGATGTTGGTGTTATTATTCCCATTTGACAAATGAGAAAACCAAGGCTAATGAGGTTCAGCAAATTGCCCAAAGACACACAGCTAGTAAATGGTGAAGCAAGGATTTACGCAACTCTAACTCCAGAACCTGTGGTCTTAATTGTTCCAGGCTATGTCTATGCACTCCCCATCCATCCCCTGCCATCCACCTCATGCCCAGTCACTCCTGGCTTGAACTTGTCACCATGACAATAAGCATTTATTTGGGCCACAACACTCCTAAGATGCTCAGCCAATCAGAATTGCTTTTTGTTCTTCTCCCAAAAAGTTTTGGGGCTGAGTTCCACAGGTGGAGCTTCTGCCTGGCCAGGGAAGCAGAGGGGCTCCAATCCAGGCCTCTGCCTCAACGGAATTGTCATGGCTCCGACAGAGGGACAGGAATGTTTCTGATCAGCATGGAGCAGACTGAGAGGGGGTGAGTGGCTAGTTACTGCCTCACAGCAGGGCAGGAAATTCAATGTGAAGGCTGAAACACAGATAATTGACAGTCTGTCGTTTTCACAGCCAAAAGCTACTTTCTCAACCAGAGCAGGAATTCTATATTGAGCATACCCCTTTGTCACAACCCAGGATGATGACTTTCAAACGCAAATATGAGATAATAACATGCAGAAATTTGTCATAAGTTCTCAGTTAATGATTCACATTGACCCTCTAGCCAGATCAATTACCACCAACAGGCATTGCTAGCTAGAGTTTCCTTACAGCTTCCCCTACATGTCCAGGGCCCTGGGGAGTCACTTGAGCCAGGAAAGAGTCGGGGCTGGTGTCTGTGCAGGTGCTTCTGGGCTGGATGCCCAAGAACTTCCAGACTGGGGGAAAGCCTGCACCCATTCTGCCCTCCTCATTATTGTCACCTGAACTGGATGGATTTTTCCAGGAGACAAACAACTGCTCAATATGCCATTGGTTTTCTTCCTGATACCAGTTCATTCCCTAAAATATTTTCTGAGTTAAACTGGCCTCCTCTGGTATAGGACAGAGTTCCTCCTGGACAGTGTTTGGAAGGTCATAGGTTCAATCTTCCCTCTGAGTTACCTTGGTCTTCGACACTACTCCAGACCCTAGAGAACAATCCCAGTGACCTGTGACCCTGGGCTCCCATCCTGGAAAGTCACTGGATTCCAAGCCCCTAGGACTCTCCCCCCTCCTCCGGGGCCCTGCAGCTCAGATTCTCTTCTTCATAGTTGTAGAACTTGCCCTGCTCGTGTTTCCTCGAATATCTCTCTCTGCTTCTTGGACTTCTTCCTTGTCGTTACCCTCTTACCTCTGAATTGGCTTTGAAACTAGTCTTTTCTGAACTGTTAGCTGGGCTTCCAGCCACACTTCAGATGGCCTCAGTGAGTGGAGGTCTTTTGGGGGCTCCCAAAACAAACAGACTCTTTCCATTTCAACGGTCTCTTAAGGAACTCGGAACATGTTTCCTGGGGCCAGACTAGAGGAAACCATGTGGCCTGATTCTTTCCCCACTCACAGCGAGTGACTGTGGTTTAACCTTTTCAAATCTACATCTCTGCATCCCAGGGCACCTGTCCCAGGTGTCTGTCCTGGGAACCCTGCCCTTATATCCCAGCATCCCCCAGAAGGGAATGTGCGTGCAGCTTCTGCATCCCTATAAACTTCACTCAATTAAATGAAGCACCTATTTCAAGACTTTGACAAACTCAGTGAGTCCCAAACCTACTTTCCCATCATCCCCCAAACACTAATCCCTGAACCTAGTGAACTTCCTATTCTCCATACTCCCTATCTCATGGGTTTCATACCTCAGAGTCCTCCCCCCATGTCACAGGTCAGCCCAAACTCCTGGGAATTCCCCTCCCTCATTCAAAATGCATTTGCAGTGTCTCTTGCATCTGTCTTTGATGAAATATCCCCACTGCCCATGTCCCTTTCATGTGAGTTTCAACACAGCCCCAGCTGTGGGCCTGCATGACTGGGATTGGTAGTGGGAGGAGAGGGATAGCATATGATCAAGGTAAGTCAGTCTAATTGATCTCTTTCCTTTTTCCTACTCACTCCAGAATTTGAACTAAAAGATACAGAAGCTACAGTACAAAAAGTTTAAGGCACTGGCACAGAAAGGTCACGTAGAGTTAGGGTCACACTAGGTGCCAGAGCAAACCCAAATCCTGGAAGAGCTGAAATTCTGAAGTTCTAAGAGCACAGAAATGAAGTTCCTTGCAGAGGAAGCCCCAGAGAAGGATCCTAAGCTGAAAGAAGAAGAGAAGGGTAGCAATGCCATCCCAGAGGGAGACAGAGGGACAAAGGTGGACAAGCACCACCTGACAGTTTGCCACATTCCAGGAGGCCGGGCAGCACTTTAGCAGCCCTTTGTTCTTACTCTTTATTCCTCTGATTTTTATTTCCTATCATCAAATAATCCTCAATGGAGCCAAAAGCTTAGTGTGGCTATTTAACTTTTTACATGCTCATGACCTGACTCCGCAACTAGGATGTACCTCCCATGCCCCACTCATCTCAGCCTCCTCCAACCAGGCCCAGGTCCAGGAACCCACAGAGGCATTTGCCAGCAGCAGCATCATTCTCCGAGAAGATTTTTACTTCTTCAAATCTGTTCACTGTCCCAACAATCCTGGAATATTGGCCATGGCCCAGCCTCGTCCTTGGCTCTCTTCCTGACACTCTTTCTCCTCCACTTCAATCCTTCCTGTCACCCAGGGAAACCCCTGGGATGGGAGTTACCAGGAAAAGGAGACAAATATCACATACCCTGCAGGTGGCTAACAAGTGGCTTGCAGAGTTGTTCATTCTTTCATTACAGATCCATCCATCCATCCATCCATCCATCCATCCATCCATCGACACTTCCGCTGATCCACCCATGCATCATCCATCCATCTATCCAATCTTACATAGAGCACCATTCCTGGACTCACTGGGCT
Organism: Homo sapiens; assembly: GCF_000001405.40. Taxonomy (NCBI): domain Eukaryota; kingdom Metazoa; phylum Chordata; class Mammalia; order Primates; family Hominidae; genus Homo; species Homo sapiens. The sequence goes on along the minus strand of NW_025791767.1, from coordinate 32,144 downwards.
TGGAGATACAAAGTGAAATAACACCGAGTCCCTACCTTGTACTCAAAGAGTTCACAATCTGAGCCCACATAACATTCCTCAGGGGCCAGTGTTCTCAAATCTCACCCAAGAGGTGTAGCCAGAAACAGAGGAGGGATAAGCTACTGGGGTCTTTCCCAGGGGTCTTCATTCTGACATTGACTCTCCCTAGAGTAGGAGAGGGTTTTCAGGCAGCAAAGAGAAGGGCAGATGTGGGAGCAGGGCACTCTACATCTACTGACACCATATGACAAGGTGACTCCTTTCCTTGTCCAGGTATAAGGCCAAGCCCAGGAAATGGGAAACTGCCCTTTGCAACACCCAGTCCTTCACTGGGTCTGTGTGGCTCAGAAGAAGGGCACAGCAGGGGCTGCATTGTCTTGGCCAAGTTGAGAATATCTGCCATGGGGTGTGTGCTCTGCCAGGCTCTGAGATCTGGGGGTACAGGGTACAGACCTGGTATTTATTCATGCATGCAGACCCAAATCCCCAAGTCTTCTCCCACATACCTCCTACTCTCGAAAATAGCCAGCTCCTGGGTGTGTAGTGCCAGAAGCCATCTCTTCCAGCCACTTGACTTTTTGATGAGAGGAAAGCTCTCCTTGAGGCTAACTTTCCAGGCATCAGTCAGAGTCCAGGCCCTCATTTGATAGAGACCTCACTGGAAGCTGATTACACTCATGCCCTCTTAATGTCCCACAGAGGCCAGACCCAGGTCCCTTCCAGCTGCCCTTCAGGCACTTATAAAAACAGGGTTCTGTCATAACTTCATTATTTGCCCGCCTTCTTTCTATGTAAATTCCTTCCCATTTTCAAAGCTGGCTGTCTAATTACGCTGTTCCAAGGCCTTGGCTATACTGCCTCAGTCTCCCTCCCCTGGTTTTACTTTTTGGGGCTGGATAGTTTCCTATTGTCCTGTCCATTCTAGAATGTTTAGCAGCATCCCCAGCCTCTGAGGCTGGCAGCATCTCTTTGCCAATAGTGAAAACTAAAAATGTCTCTAGGCATTGCCAAATGTTTCCTGGGGAACAAAATCCCTTGATTGAGAACTACTGCTTCAGAGGGACACAATCTCGCCATCTCCCTGGGCAGGACTCCGTCTCTATGAGCTGAACAGCTTTTTTTATATATATATATACTTTAAGTTTTAGGGTACATGTGCACAATGTGCAGGTTTGTTACATATGTATACATGTGCCATGTTGGTGTGCTGCACCCATTAACTCGTCATTTATATTAGGTATTTCTCCTAATGCTATCCCTCCCCCAGCCCCAACCCACAACAGGCCCCGGGGTGTGATGTTCCCCTTCCTGTGTCCAGGTGTTCTCATTGTTCAATTCCCACCTATGAGTGAGAACATGCGGTGTTTGTTTTTTTGTCCTTGTGATAGTTTGCTGAGAATGATGGTTTCCAGCTTCATCCATGTCCCTACAAAGGACATGAACTCATCATTTTTTATGGCTGCATAGTATTCCATGGTGTATATGTGCCACATTTTCTTAATCCAGTCCATCATTGTTGGACAAATATCATACTGAATGGGCAAAAACTGGAAGCATTCCCTTTGAAAACTGGCACAAGACAGGGATGCCCTCTCTCACCACTCCTATTTAACATAGTGTTGGAAGTTCTGGCCAGGGCAATCAGGCAGGAGAAGGAAATAAAGGCCATTCAATTCGGAAAAGAGGAAGTCAAATTGTCCCTGTTTGCAGATGACATGATTGTATATCTAGAAAACCCCGTCATCTCAGCCCAAAATCTCCTTAAGCTGATAAGCAACTTCAGCAAAGTCTCAGGATACAAAATCAATGTGCAAAAATCACAAGCATTCTTATACACCAATAACAGACAAACAGAGAGCTAAATCATGAGTGAACTCCTATTCACAATTGCTTCAAAGAGAATAAAATACCTAGGAATCCAACTTACAAGGGATGTGAAGGACCTCTTCAAGGAGAACTACAAACCACTGCTCAAGGAAATAAAAGAGGATACAAACAAATGGAAGAACATTCCATGCTCATGGATAGGAAGAATTAATATCATGAAAATGGCCATACTGCCCAAGGTAATTTATAGATTCAATGCCATCCCCATCAAGCTACCAATGACTTTCTTCACAGAATTGGAAAAAACTACTTTAAAGTTCATATGGAACCAAAAAAGAGTCCGCATTGCCAAGTCAATCCTAAGCAAAAAGAACAAAGCTGGAGGCATCATGCTACCTGACTTCAAACTATACTACAAGGCTACAGTAACCAAAACAGCATGGTACTTGTACCAAAACAGAGATATAGACCAATGGACCAGAACAGAGCCCTCAGAAATAATGCCACACATCTATGACTATCTGATCTTTGACAAACCTGACAAAAACAAGAAATGGGGAAAGGATTTCCTGTTTAATAAATCATGCTGGGAAAACTGGCTAGCCATATGTAGAAAGCTGAAACTGGACCCCTTCCTTACACCTTATACAAAAATTAATTCAAGATGGATTAAAGACTTAAATGTTAGACCTAAAACCATAAAATCCCTAGAAGAAAACCTAGGCAATACCATTCAGGACATAGGCATGGGCAAGGACTTCATGTCTAAAACACCAAGAGCTAAACAGCTTTATTTCCAACAGGAAATAGGAAGTCAGCCTGGTGCCTCCTCTGAATAGTCTCTAGAGGGTCTGCCACCAGTAACTTACCCAGATCCAAAAGCTGAGAAGTCACACGTAGGCCTGCAACCACCATGGTCTTCTTGGGAGCAGAACTCACTGTACTTGGCCTTCTCCTCAATATCCTAACATCCTGGATTTTCCAGGAAAGCTGAAATTTAAACACCCTGTCCTATTGGCCCCATCAATGAACATATGTCACTCCATTTTTGATCCAGGAAATGTGGGTTCAGTACTCATGACTCCCAACGAACAAGAAGCTGCTGTATTCAAGGATTTATAGTGCTGATCAGCCTCTATTTGCAAGGTGGGTTGTGCAGCTTCTTAACCTGTATCCCCTTCCCAGGGGGACAGGATCTGGAAGCTCATTCTATGTGGTACCCCAGGGAGTTTCTAGACCAACCTCTGCTGCTTCTGTTTCTGCAGGAGAATGAGGGGGAGAGGAAGGATGCAGACCTGCAGATGGTGTGTCCTTCGTGTTAATTAGCCTTCCATGATGGGGCAGGTCACAGAGGGAGGACTATAGAGTCCACGGTGGTGATGATCCTGATGTGATGGTGGGAATGGTGCCACAGGCGGTGGTGGCAGTAGGAATAAAGGGTATACAGATGACAGCAGGAGGTAACCATTCTATAGATGACCACCCCCTGACTTAAATGCACAAGGAAGAAGCCCTTTAGAGCAGAAATGCAGCAAAGAAGCCCTTTAGAGCAGCTTCTTTTAGCTTGCTGGTTGTTGCTGGCATTATCTGATTCCCAGGCACTTCCTGGATTAAATCAAGCTTGAAATGAGGAGTCTTCATTCACAGCAGGCCCTCGGGAGGAAATGTGAACTCTGAAATGCATTTTTGGAGGAAATGTTAAAGCCTCTTTTAATATCCCAGTTGAAAGAGAAAAATGAAAGTTACAGGCTGCTCCATATTTTATGATAAACTGATGCTAACATGAGTTTGGCTGACAGAGGTGGCATTAGAAATGGGACTCTCCGAGGGGGGCTGGAGGGGATTCATTTCCCAGGTCTTCATAACAGCCTCATACTTTGGGAAGTGTGGTTGCTTACCTGGGGACACACACTCTGCAGCCTCCAGAGCTTGTCCCACTGCTGCCCTAAACATCTGACAGCATGCTGGCCAAGTCACGTGGTTGGATGATGACAGTGTCCCAACATAGGAACATTTTTACCATTTTTCATTTTTGTTTCCAAACATTTGTCTTTGCCTATAAAGCGAGGGATATCTGTGAGTGGTGGAGGTGAAGCAGCAAAGATGGAAACCATTTATGAAAGAGGCCTGTTTCTACCTTGCTTTGATTCCAAAATCTTTTTGTTCAATATTGAGAACATTTGGCAGGAATGTTTTAAAGGGTGCTATTATATAAATTGGTGATGGTCTTTTGTCAGTTCAGATAAGAACACTGTTCAATTGTATGCCTTTGCTGAAAATATGGGAAATGAAATCACACCTGTTCCGATCTCTGTAATTCAGCAGTCACAAGCCAAGAGCAAGCTTGGGAAGCTTCTCTGAGCAGTTCTGGACCACCTAGCTCTGCCAACCTGGCCTCAGCTTCTCAACACCTTCACTTGCCTTCATCTACACCAGGGCAATACCCAACCTCCATATCTGTCAGTTCTGAGAACTGCTGTTTCCCAGCTCCTTGTTTGTGATCTTACTGCTTCTGTTGAACTCCTGGTGGCCCATCAAACCTAGCTGTCTGACTCCTCCTTTCCTGTCTACGTGCTTTCTTCTCTTCATCAATCCATGACTCCCATATGCCACACTTTCACACTACACTGTAATTATCTGTTCATGTGTTGGCCTCCTGTACTAGACTTTATTTCAGGAGAGCAGAGGCCATGGCTTCAACGTTGCAGCTGCCAGAGCCTGGCACGCACAAATGTCAAATGAATATGTCTTAATTTGTTAAGTTAATGTGTCTTTATCAAGATTGCCAGGAAAAAAAAAAACAACAGCAACTCCACTCAAACTGGCCCTAAGTCAAAAGGGAGATGATTTGGACAGTAACAAAGTATTTCATGGCATCAAAGAGCAGAAGCGTAGCTTGGCCGCCAAGACACACAGCTGAGAAGGGGAACGCCCATGGAAACAGAGACCTCAGCTCTTTCCTGCTGTCTTCCTGGCTCCTTTCCTGTGGTCTTCTGCCTCTGCTTCACCCTGCATATCTGAGGAGGCTGTGCCACAGGGTGACTAGGCCCTAGGCACTCACTAGGATGCTCTGTCCTGGAATTGCAGGTTCCTAGTGCATTAAACCCACAGTCAAATCCCCAAATGTGAAGCACCGATGTGCCAGCCAAGGTTTTTCAAGGGATATGACTCTCAGAGTCAATGTTTTTCCAACTGAGGAGGTGGCTATACCACTGCCAGGAGATTAGGGAGGGGAAGAGCAATAAGATCAAATAGAAAGATGAAGGAGAAAGAGACAACTAGTTTTTATTTGTGCCTGGCCTGGAAAACACTTCTCTTTATTGCCACTCATTTCAGCCTTGATCTTCCTAAAAGGGCCTTTTCAATTCTCATTTCTTTGCAAGAAAACAGAAGCCCAGAGTTGGGGAGAGGACTTCCAGTCTCCCACCACTGTTCAGTGGCCAAGTAGAGCTGCTTCCACCTTCCTACTCTAGTGAGGGGTTGCAGAGTAAGCCACCAGTAGTGACCACACACTGTGCCCTTGCACCCCCAGGAGAATTGCACCTTAACCCTGGAAATTGTAAACTTGAGATATGACTTTTCCATAGTGGAATGTCAGACCTCACTGGTTGGTTTGATGGAAAGATGGTTTGGGAGTCAAGAGAGTGGATATAAAGGACCCAGGGCAGTTTCTAGTGCAGTCTCCACAAATGGAAAGTACATGTAAGTGTCCATGGCCCAAGGGGACAAGGATGCATAAAATTCAATGACATTAGGCCAGTTCTTCATTTGGTTTAGAACAGTGGTTCCCACCCTATGAGCTCTGGATCTTATATCTCAGAGCTATTATTAATACAAACGGCCCATGAGGCTATTTGCACATTAATCTATGCCTGTAGCCTTATATATCTTATTTCATATAAATGTTAACTACTACTTTTAATGCATACTGATGATGTTATGATTAAAAGATACAAATTTATTTCAAAACTTCCTCAAATGTATAGGAACTTTTAGTTATTAAGTAATTTTTCAAACTCTAGGAGTATGGTTCTAGAGTTCATGTAGAAATCCATGAACTATTCTAAGGGTCTTGGAAATTTTTGACATTAGAAAGGAATTCTTATAATCTCTCAAACACTGGGGTTCTTCTCAGATTTTCCTTTCATGAATGATTCGATGGACTTCAAAAGGCTGGAAGTAAATCCTTAAAGCTAACAAAAGCACAGAGGACACCTGTGATCGATTGCAAAAAAATTGCCACAATTCTTTGCAGCCTCTCCCATCGAGAAGTACTTCTTGACTTCGTGGTTTGATTTGGATAATAGAATGCAGAGAGTGTGACGTTATCCAAGTTCCAAGCCTGGGCTTCAAGAGTCTTTGCACGTTTCCAACTGCTCTCTTGGGATTCTACCACCACTGTAATTTAATAAAGTCTAGATTTGCCTGATGGAGGATGACAGACCACATGGAACAGAGTCGAGCCATCCCACAGAGCCATTTTAGACAACCAGCTCAGGCTCTGATTGTAGATGCATGGGAGCCCCCAACCAGAATCTACCAAGCAGAGCTCTGCCCAGATAATCCCAGCCCAAATTGCTGATCCACAGAATCATGAGGTAAACAAATAGTTGTTGTTTTGAGTCACATTTAAAATTTAAATTTTGAGAACCTCTGGCACAGCTTAGCCTGTACTTCTCCCCTGGGCATTTGTGACCACTCCTCACTGTATACATATCTTGCTGCCACCATGGGAAACTACTCAAGCAGGATCATTGTCAATCACAAAATGCCACAGATATCCAACCATACCAACAAAAGCTCTACAACACTCTGGAGAGCAGCTTGTAGGGCCCTGTCACAGCCAGGAACACTATATTCTTTTCTTTTCTTCTTCTTCTTCTTTTTTTTTTTTTTTTTCTGAGACAGAGTCTCACTCTGTAGCCCAGGCTGGAGTGCAGTGGTGCCATTTCAGCTCACTCCAACCTCCACCCCCCAAGTTCCAGGGATTCTCGTGCTTCAGCCTCCCAAGTAACTGGGATTACAGGCATGCACCACCACACCTAGCTAATTTTTATAATTTTAGTGGAGATGTGGTTTTGCCATGTTGGCCAGGCTGGTCTTGAACTCCCAATCTTGGGTGATCCACCTGCCTCGGCCTCCAAAATGCTGGGATTAAAGGCGTGAGCCACCGCGCCCAGCCAGAAACTGTATTCTTAAGGTTGGCTCACACTGACCCCTTAGGACAGAGCCTCCACATTTGCCAAGAAAGGGTCCCCTGGATTTTAGAATGAAGTTATGTGATTCATTGCACTTAATGTTGGATGTCTCCTGCCTGTTCACTGTCTGTGGGATCAAAGCTGCATTCAACTAGCCAGACCAGAGACTCTGCTTCAGAAAAGTCAGCATCGATCTCCTCCTCCCTCCGGTCCCATACATTTCACCTGGCCTTTCCTGTGAATGTGAGATTTTTTTTTTTTTAATTCTCTCATCCCTCTTTCTGGGATTTCCTTTGTGACCCATTTTGTCTAAGGTTGAGATTATACCCAGCCATTCCCAGGAACATACCTCAGATCTTCCCTCCATAGCAGACCTTAACTCCATAGAAGTTAAAGTCCCTAATGGAATTCTGAGCAAAGTAGCTGGGGTCACTGGACCATAGCAGGGGTGTTGGCTCCCCGGAGAGAGCTGAAGTCAAACAATACACATAAATTCTCTAGTCAATGCAGATCAGTGTTAGTTAGAACTCTGTGTCCCCCCAAAGACTGTTGACAGGCCAGATCCTCTCTACAGTCAGCTGTTGTGGGGCTAAGAACCAGAACACAGCCTTCCTGGGGCAAGGCCACTGTAGTTCTCAGCCTCAGGCCTGGGTCTTACTCTAGCGTCTTCTTGCCTAGATGCTCCGAATGCTTTCTTTTCTCCCACAAGGTCACCAGCCACCCAGCAAATCCCTGAGTCAAAAATCCACAACATTTAGGAAAAGTCTGTTGAAGAAGAAAATAAGAATTTAGATGAAGCTTGCTTTAATTCAAGACCAAAAAGTGTTCTGGGGGGCTCCAACCTCCCTCTGTGGGTCCCCTGCTTATTTCCTCCCACCCTGTCCACCCCAGCAGGGCCCAGTCCCCTTCTGACACAGGAATGGAGTGCCTTTTTGTAATTTTTTAATTTTCCCCCACCAAGGAAACCTGGCAAGCTAGCTCTGACCACTGTTCTCAGGACACAGAGCCTGGCAGTAGGACATAACCATTCTTGCCCAGCCCTTTGACCGTCCTGGTCAACAACTTCTAAATATTTGGATTGAGAGATATTTTAGTTATTCTCACAATAACATAGGCAGCCTACTCCCAGGAAGGAATGAGAGTTCATAGCCAAATGGAAAGAGTCCCTTGTGTTGTTGGGAATTTTACCATGTGAATCAGTTCAGCATTATATGGGCCTCCCAGTGGTCCTCCTAGGCTTTGCATATCTTTTCAGAACAGCTCTGTGCCCAGGCCTGTGCTAAATGCTGCCAGGCACAAGAGAAAAGAATTATCTTCATCTTCCTCATCACCTTGCCATCATCACCCCTGCAAACCTTACATAGCAATCACTACATGACAGGCAGAATCAAATATTAACTCATTTAAGCTCATAGCATCTTTATGAAGCAGAGATCATCAATATTCCCATTTCAAAGATGAGTAAGTTGAGGCACAAAGATTCAGTAACTGGCTCAAGGTGACCAGCTGCCAACTGGTGGAACTGGGGTTCAACTCTAGGTATTCATTTCTCTGCATCTCAAGACGACCTTGAGAAGTCAGTCTTAGATTCATGAGCAGCTGTGAGCCAACAGGACCAGGGGTGGGAGATGCTGAGGGAAAATCCACACCAGAAAAAACAGTTACTAAATAAGTGGCAAACAGAAAGTGTTAAATAAATAAAGGACAGTGTGCACTCTTAAGACTCAAGTTGGTCTTTTGAGAAACAACACAGGGATTAGCATCCTAATTGTAGTTTGTACAATAAAAATTGTCATTTTATTTAGTGATTAATGTTTACCAGACCCTTAGCAAAAGATTTACACACAAAATAGCACTTAATCCATATATAACCCTCACGACAACAGCACAAATTTGTTCTAACTTGAATAAAGTCTGGTTTTCTGAGGCCTCTCGTAAAAGGCCTCAGGAAAGAAACCTTGGTCTGGCTGCCAAAGTAATAGGAGAATAACATTAATCAGCATTGCAGTCCCTCGAGGAAATACCTAAGTGGTGTCACCATCCTAACACGTAGAAAATCTTTTAGAAATCATCTTCTTCTATTTCCCTCTATTATTGTGTCTCACATCTTGGCAGATGCCCCCAAATCCTCTCTCTTGCCTCATCCCTAGTGGCAAGAAGAGTGCCTCCAACTGAGCCTGTCTTGGCTCCTTCTCCCATCCACCTTCCCCCTCTGGCTTTGTCCTTGTTCTTCAGCCGTTTGTAATAGAAATCCTCTGAGCCTCCACGTTTTGCCCTCACCCACACTCCCCAGTCTGGATAATAAAGACCCCAGAACTATCAGCAAAACACAGACGCTTCTCAGCCAGGAAGGGCAGGACATGGGGAGGCATCTGATGGTGGTATGCACTAAGCTTTTGATAGTTCTGGGACCATTATAAATAAATTCTCAATGATAATTTTCAGATCAGGAAACTGAGGCTCAGAAAAACTCATTAGCTCTTCTTTTTTTTTTTTTTTTTGTTTTTGAGACGGAGTCTCGCTCTGTCGCCCAGGCTGGAGTGCAGTGGCGGGATCTCGGCTCACTGCAAGCTCCGCCTCCTGGGTTCACGCCATTCTCCTGCCTCAGCCTCCCAAGTAGCTGGGACTACAGGCGCCCGCCACTACGCCCGGCTAATTTTTTGTATTTTTAGTAGAGACGGGGTTTCACCGTTTTAGTCGGGATGGTCTCGATCTCCTGACCTCGTGATCCGCCCGCCTCGGCCTCCCAAAGTGCTGGGATTACAGGCGTGAGCCACCGCGCCCGGCCTAGCTCTTCTAAAACAAACAAAAAAAATGGATTTGAACCTAGGTCGTTTGCAAATAAATTATAAAAAGCTGCAAATAACTGCGGCCTATCCCCATGATATTAGTTCACATGACCAACACTAGATTTGTGAAATGAGCTCCTCCCACTGCCCTTCCCTGGGTGATCCACAAAATGACCTTTCCCATTTTCAATCTTTGGCCTCTGGGGTATATTTGTAGACACAGATATACACCTGAGGCATACATACAGACCTGTACACACACACTCACTGTGATACACACTTACGCACAAAAAGCACACTCACCCAGCCTTGCCTAGTTGCGTGGGTGAAACCTCAGGATGCTTCTACACTGGCAAAGGAGTGCTGGTTCGTTGAAATGGTTCCTGAGAATCCGGCATTTCTGCATTTAGTCTTCTCAGCTAACTTGCAAGAAAATAAATCCTGTTCACCAGTACAGAGATAACCTTAGGTAATGTCTGCGCCACAGGGAAGCAGGCAGCTGACTATCTTTCAGTTACCAGGGCCAGTGCAAACAGGCCAAGCAGCTAAGCCAGGTCCTGTCACCCACTGGGAGAAGAGAAGGGAGAGTGGGGTTTGCCTCTTGCAGGAAGTGATGTTTTCTTTACATTTCATAATAAATGAACACTTTGTATGTTTCCACTTGTAACAGAGCACTATTTTGAAAAATAACAATTTAAAACTATTTTTATTCTTTTGCATTTTCCTGTACATGATCTATTTCTTAGCCAACTAAGGCATGTATTTGTTGGGTGGGATGGGGTCAGGGTGCCTAGCATTGCTAGAACAGGAATGCATAGAGGGTTAATATTCAGCTCATATTATTGAAATACGATTTCACAGTAAAATAATCAGCCTGAAAGCAAGGCATTGACAAGAGAGAAAGGATGTGCTAAATCACTTTAGCTTCTATTCAACATATTAACAACCAATCAGTCAAGCAGCCAGCAATATTTATTAAGCCCCTTCTCTGTACTATTCCAAAAGAAGAGTCTTATTCTCAAAAAACTTAAGGGAGAAAGACAAACCACAAACAATCAAAAGTAAGATAATCTTAGCTATCGACAAATGCTATGAGGAAGATAAAATTGGGTCATGTGGTAGGTGTGTATGTTTCAGAGAAACAGGCAGAAGGGGCTGATTAATATAGGAAGGTCAGAAAGACTCATTGACAGGGCGATGTTTGACCTGGGACCAGAGTTATAAGACAGAAACCAGGCAAAGGCCTGGAGGACAGTGTTCCAGGCAGAAGTAGCAGCAAGTGCAAAGGCCTGGAGACAGGAAGAAGTTTGGGCAATTAGAGAGGAGAAGAAGGACCGGTGCTGCTGGAATATTGTGAATGAGCAGAATGGAGAAGTAGAAAACAGAAGTTGATGGGGGTGGGTCCTGTAAGGCCTTGTACCCAGCAAATAATTTCAGTTGTATTAGTATTGCAAGAGAAAGCTTTATTCCTTCAAGCATGGGAATGACACAATCTAATTTACACTTCAGAAGACCAAGAGTTTGAGACCAGCCTGGGCAACACAGTGAGACCCCATTTCGACGGAAACATTAAAATAAAAATTAGCTGGACATGGTGGTGCATGCCTGTAGTCCCAGCTACTTGGGGGGCTGAGGAAGATCACTTGAGCCCAGGAGTTCAAGGCTGCAGTGAGCTATGATCACCCCACTGCACTCCAGCCTGGGTGACAGAGCGAGACCCCATCTTAAAATAAAATGAAATAAAATAAAAAATTAGAAAGAAAAATCACCCTGGCTACTGTGTTGGGAAAATAAGTTCCATGGCAGTTGCTCGGTACTATTGAGCTTTTGGGCCAGTTAATTCTCTGTTGTGACGGGCTGTCCCTGTCCTGCCCATTGCAGAATTTTCAGCAGCGTCCCTGGCTTCTATCCATTAGATGTCAATTGCCTTTCTCCCCCTTTTCTTCAGTAGTGACAGCCAAAAATGTTTCCAGACATTGCCAAATGGTTCTTGGGGGGCAAAATGCTCCTGGATGAGAACCTCTGCTCTATGGGGACAAAAGAAGAAGTAGGAATCCCAGTTAAAAGGCCACAGCTGTGGTCCAAGTGACAGAGGTGGTAGCTTGGAATAAGATGCTAACTGTGAGTATGGTGAGAAGTGTTCTGGACTCACGATATGTTTTGAAGTTAGAGCCAATGGGATGTGCTGATGAACTGGATGTGAGATGTGAAAGAAAGAGAGGAGTTAAGGATGATTCTTCAGTTTTTGGCCTGAGCAACTAAGTAGATGACAATGCCATTCACCAAGGTTGAAAAATGCCTGGAGCAGAGGGAGGCTATGGGGTTGCAGGGACAGCAAAGCAAAGTAGTCTGATTTGGTGATGTTGAGGTTGCAGTTCCTATTAGACATCAAGTGGAAAGGTTGAGAAGGCAATTAGATGTTCAAATCTGGATTTCTGAGTAGAGATTTAGGCAGGGGATAAGTATAAATGTAAAAGAGTGATCTACACATCCATTGAAAAAACAGATCATGCAACTTTTTTTGTAACATAAATAGGCTGCGAGACTTGCTGCCCATTTCAGGGGGAGAATTTACGTGGAGGAAAATAAATGCCAGAAATCCATCCGCCTTGTCCAGAAGGACCAGAGACAGAAGGAGGAGTATGCAGAAAAATCCGGGGCTGAGATTGGCAGGTTCTAATATGTTGGAAATTTGGAGAGAAAGGCCAAAAAGAAGAGGCTTTTGCCTTATTTCCCATTGCAAATTCTGGATTAAGTTCCTTGCAGTCTACTGGGTCACCAACATGGTGGCAACTGTATCAAATTCAATCTATCTTGTGCTGTGTGCTAGCGCTAAGGGAAGCCCAGAAATGTGGGTTATCTTCTCTGAGCCTCCATGTTTCCTTGTAGCATGTCTGGGACCGAGACTTTCTTGCAGGCCTTCACGGGGGGATTCTATGGCAACCGAGTTGGGAGCCAGAGAGTCTGTGTGGGCCACATGGCAAGTGGCACAGTGACCCTGCAGCAGTAACCACACAGGTGGACCTCTTAGGTTGGAGCTGGATGAGGAAGGCAGCAGACCCTGAGTCAGACAGGGAGGACAACCAGGAAAAGAGAGGTAAAAATTGCAAGCTTTGCCAACTGCTGGCCTCGGCCACCAAAGCGAGCTAGGCAAGCAGTGGCCAGGCTAAGGGACACTGCCTTGGAAACCGAAGCTCACCAATGCCTCATGTTCCTCCCTCCTCACACACCAAAATGCCATGTGGGGTAAGATAAAGGGCAAGGGAGGAGGGCTGAAGGACAGGGCATTTAGCTAAAGAAAGTCTTCAATAAAGGAATCAATTTGGAATTATTGAACTGAACCAAACTTTAGTTTTGTTTTGCCCCATTACCCAGTGAGTAGGAGTTCATGTGGAATATCAGATCAGTTTTAGGAAAATAAAGAAAGAACCATGCCTTTTTTCAGTGTGGTTAGCATGGATAAACTTATTGTTGCATGACACATTAGTCAAATGTCCAATCCAGTGCTGTTTAGCAAAAAACAATTTTTTTTTTTTTGAGACACGATCTCGCTCTGACACCCAGGCTGGAGTGCAGTGGCGTGATCTCGGCTCACTGCAACCTCTGCCTCACAGGTTCAAGCGACTCTCATATCTCATCCTCCCAAGTAGCTGGGACTACAGGCACAAGCCACCATGCCCGGCTAAATTTTGTATTTTTAGTAGAGATGGGATTTCACCATGTTGGCCAGACTGGTCTTGAACTCCTGACTTCAGGTGATCCACACAACTCAGCCTCCCAAAGTGCTTGGATTACAGGTGTGAGCCACCGCACCTGGCCAACAAACAATTTTTGAGTGCCGCCTGTCACATGTTCTGTGTTCGCTGAGGAATTAATGGGCTTCCCATCATTTAGCAGGAGCCCATCATTCAGAAGCATGAAAGACACCCACCTTGGTATTAGAGTGTTGTTCAGGACAGTCCAGGGAGGAGTGCCAGGCTATGGGGCACACCTGTGGCTGAGTGTCCCTGCACCCCAAAGCTCTCTGAAAGGGGCAATGCACATGAAAAACTTCACGTCCCCAAAATATGAGGTTCAAGTGGAAAAAATTGTCACCATGAGCCTGTATCACTTTTTAAATAAGAAACACAAATACACAAAATGATAGAGCCACAGATTCCAAGAGTGATGAAACTGGAAGAGATTTTGGCACTTTCTGCTCTTGTCCCTCATTTAACTGACGGGCGCACTGAAGCACAGCAAAGAAACCTGATGCCTTCTTGTTCACACAACAAACCACAGGTGGAGCTGGGACTTGAAACAGCGCACCGCTCCTCAGCAATGGGCAGAAATAAGTCAATTTTAAGGAGATACTGCAAAACTAACTGAAGCACACAGATGTTAAGGAGATAAACTTTAAATAGAAGAACCTCTTTTTGGTTCTCTGGGGCTGGGACTAAGTTGAAGACACATGGTCTAGGAAGATGTGATCAGAGGGGCTGAGCACCCCGCTGCCACTCAGAATTATGGGACCATTCACAGAGGCGTTCTGCTCCCAAAGAGGCAGAAGTGCCTTCTGTGCCCTCATGGCTCTTTCCCCAGCAGCATTAGCCTGGCTGGATTCACTGGAGGAGGGCAGGGTATAAATGGAACTAATACTTGGAATGCTAGCTCCCTTAAGCTGCAAACTATAAAATGTGTACTACCTAATTATTTTGACTTAGGACTTTTTGTTCTTATTCTGCTGAGATACCTTCTCTGTTCATAATGTGGGACCAACCTGCAGTTACATGTCAACAGGTACAATCTTGCAAAGAATCAAAAAACCAGAGCCCTGGTTGCTTCCTTGACTCTAATACTAACTTGCTCTAGAACCTTTGCAGTGTTCTTTAACCTACCTGGATCTTTCTTTCTAGGCAATGAAGGTATTAAACCTCACACTCTCCACTAGACTTCCAGCTCTGCAAACCTGGGCTTTGATGAATGATGCAAGAGCTGGCATCCCACCTACCCTGTCTTAACTGTAGAGACAGCAGACAGGACAACAAAACCAGCTGCCCCCACTCTTGGACTTAATTCTTTGGCCTTCAGGAAATCTTGGCTCTCGCTTCTCTCCTCAATGTCATTCATAGCCCTTCAGTGTTGGCCTTGTGGGCTGGGAGCGGTAAGGAATGGTAAGCCAGGAAGACTTGAGAACATTTTCCCTGGCGGTCAGGAAAGCACATCAAAAAGGACGCTGTTTTCCTTCTTTTCTTTCCTCTGTGCTTCCTTAAAACTGAAGTGAATGACATCACAACAACACAAAGTTGCCAAGACATACTCTACAAAAATGTCCTCACATGGTTACATTTTCTGCAAATTACAGCATTTGGAGTATAAATCAGAGTAATTGTTTAAATCAGAGTGACTGTTGAAACAGATTTCCAGTGATCAAATCAAAAACGCAATCATTCTTGCGGTTCCTCCGGTGCTTGGAGCCCCACGTACTTCTGAAACTGTCGGTTGTCAGTTACAAGGAGTGTTTACATTAACATACTGCCCGAACAGAGAAAATATATATTTTAAGAAGAAAATGTGAATCCAGGGTTACAAGAATGTTTCTGAAACAGCTAAGTCATCTTGTTTCAAGTAAAACCAGATGTTTGCATCAAGAGAAAGCCAATCATTTCTTTTAATTATGCTCAATGGCCAGGCCACCAAGAATACCCACATGTGTACACATAAGCCGGTGGAAATCAAAGGCTTTGTGACAGAGAAAGCAATCAGCAACTTCCAGACCACCAAATGGCATCCCAGCACCAGCTCTGGGCACTGTTTGAGCTCCTTCTCTAGGAGAGCACTCGGTGAGATGAGACTTGCTTCCCCCAGCGCCAACATCTCATGTCCCACCTCTGTCCCTAAAGAGTCCAGCACAAGGCCAGGGGTGAATTCCCTAGTCAAGATTCAAGATTCAGGGTGAGGGTCAACAGAAAAGGAACCTGGACAGTTAAGCTGTCTTCTTAAATGCCTTCCCAGGCCACTTCTCTATCAGGAAAGCCTCAGAAATATCTTAATGCTGAAAGAGGTGCAGTGGGGGCTCATGCTCTAGCCTGCATACCCAGATGGTAGAGGAGCCTGAGTTCATGGGAAACTTACCTGCTAGCTTGGCCTACACTCTGAAGCACTGTGGGGGTTTGATGGCACTGGTGGGAAGTCACACTCCGGCAGGTGGGCAGAGGGGATGGCGTTGGGGATGTCCACTTCCCTCTGATGGCTGCTGGGCTCAAGTCAGGGAAAAAGCCCACTTTCCAGTGTGGAGACTCCAAGCACAGTCATCATTGCCTGCTACGGTCTTCACTGGTGGAGCACAGAGACTTGGCACTAGAAAGACTCCGTTGTCAAAACGTTCCCTGTGAAAAGAAGAGAGTGGCCATGGCCCCAAAGCTTCCTCCCTGTACAACCACAGTGCCTGAGCTTTCCCTAGGTGGTAGTTTTGAATATTTGTTCCAAAAATCACTGCAGAATTATACTGCAGTGTTTCTCCTAATAGTAGTGCAAAAACTTAACACACACTTTGAGTCTGTTCCCCGAACCACGTTGTTTAAGCACGAGCTTCACAGTTTTTACTATCTACTATTATTGGTTTTAAGTTAAAATGCCTTCTTTTCTTGTCTTTTCTATTTTGTTTTGTATTATTTTTACTTAGATTATTTAGTCTTTTCCTAAGAAAAATTATTCATGAAATCACAGGTAAGGTATGCTAATTGTATATATTTGTAATATGTGTTAAATACATAAGCATTAAAATAAAAATATTTATCTATGTTTTGGCTAAAATCATTTCACAAAACACTATCAGTACTTGTCCATGGTTTTGGGAAATGCCACTTGAAGATATTTTGTAGAATTATAGCATTTCTTTCAAACCTTTCATCAGATTCCTTTAAATGACACAGCAATAAGCGATTTTCAAGGCAGTAACACTGATCCATGGCTCTGGGAGCACTGGAGCCAGCTCTCAGCATATTGATTGGCATCGGGGGGGAAGTAAGCCCCTGCTTTGTTCTGCCTCATTATAAACAGTGGCCATTTCCTATCAAGAGAATAAGGGAGGGACATCTTCTCCAGGATGCATTGTGAGGGTTGTAGACAAGTACTCAGATATGCATGTAATGTTTCCTCCCTGTCTTCATTTGTGCCCCCAAATTTCCATGATTATTTCTGTTTTTCTCAAAATGGTTCCAGCATAGGAAGTTTTCAAGGAAAGTGAATCCTGTATCATTATTAAACTAAGAGCTCTGCTTTGAACTTAGCCCAGAAGTCAGACCCACGTCTGTGGAGCAGGCATTTGCTAATCACTTCTTGGCTGCGGTTGACTGGTAATGTCCTCAAAACCAAACCATCATGGGGATTCTTGAAGTCAGAAGGGAAGCAAGTTGTTTAAAAATAAAACACTCCCTACTTTGGGCCCCCAACTCTATAAGATAGCAGCTTAACAGTCTAAATGATTGTTTTGAAATGTGCTTTGACTCCAGTTTTGCTAAATGTTTACTTGGGTCTTTCAACCTCATTGATTAAATATCCTGACTTGATTCCAGGCCAACCAATCCTACCATGTAACAGTGGAGTTCCCTTGCCCGATGTGCTTCATGCATGGTGCACTGTACACTGTTACTTCATAGCTCGGAAACTTCATCTGAAGGGCCATTTCTGAGACTCTACTCATTCATTCATCCATTCAACCTTTTAACACACAATTATTAAGCACCTATTAAATGCAATGGTCCAAGATAATTTGCTATGGGAGATTTGAAGATGCATTGACCATGAATATGAAACCTCTAACCTTGGAGAGACTTCAGGTCCATATTTCTGCAGACAATTGACCTTTATCAATCCCAGGACAATGCTAAGGGACATTCAGTCCCCCTTTGATTTACTAGAAATAAATCTCAGAACAATGCAACATGCTCTTTAAGTAAGAGTTTTTTTTTTTTTTTTAAATCACTTATCTTGCCTCTTGCAAGAGGTTGAGTCAAATGCTGAAGGGAATTTAACTAGAGTCTTAATTGGAAATGCAAAGAGTTGCTGATACCATCAAAAAAGGAAGAAGCTGAGGGAAGTGACAAGACAAGCTCTTCTTTCTAAACATCTGGTCCCACTCTCTCAACAGCTTCATAAAACACTGTTCAGAGCCGGCAGATGCATCAAGAGTACCTGGCATACAGCTACGTACCCTGAAGCAGGTGGACCTCATCAAACTTTGGCTACAAAGTAGTTCCCTATTAGCTTGCCCTTTGATTTACATTCTCGCATGAGAGTATCTCCAGGCAACGCATTTGAACAGCAGAGGCCTTTGCAGAAAACTCACAACACATGTGAGTTTTTTTTTAACATGTGGGATGCTACTCCACCTGGGGGTAAGGCTCACCTTTTGAGAACAAGAAGAGGGGAAAATCTGGACAGCCACAAGCCAGTCAACAAACCCAAATTGGATGCCGTGGCTGCAGTGAAGTATAGAGCTCACCACCAGAGGGCAGCAGTGCACACAGACACAATGTAACCTCCACATTGGAGGAGAAAACAGGTGGAAGAGGAATTAGCAATGTGCCCAAGGCTCACAGTAAGTACACACAGATGGAGGCTCAGAGCCCTGGCCTCTTACTCCCAGCCAGTCCTCCTCCACTTGCCCCCAAGGTCTCAGGAAGAGGTCATTGTGGATGGTTAGGCATCTTTATTTTACAATTGAAGTTGCCTGGTCAGACCTTAGCATCTCCTCCCAGGGAGCATGAGAGCCCTCAGCAATTCTGAGATGCTGGATGCTCTAACTTTTTTGACCTTGACCCATGGTAAGAAATACATTTAACGTTGCAAGCCACTTTTAGTATACTGTCTATCATGTGCAAAACAGCAGCACATTTTTACAAAGCAATACCCTTATTTCTCAATTCTGTCTCTTTTTTTTAATGCTAGACAGGTCTTCATCCACTACTCATATCACACTCTACTAATTGGTCACCAGTGCTGATTCAAAGGGTGGCATGGAGAGTGGCCCTTCAAAGAAAGTAGGCTGCCCCAGTCCTCTGCTCTGTTATCCCTGGATGCTACAGGCCCTGCAAGAGCTTAGGAGGGGTCTAGGGAGCTGAGCTCCTCCCATCTAAGAGGGAGAATCATGGCCCAGGGAAAGTACCATAGATAACCTTAACGGATAATTTAGCTTCATTTTGCCTATGTCATTCCTTCATTCATTCCCTCAGCAAACATTAACTCACCACTGAGAGTTTAGTCCTGTCCTTAGCCAGCCCCTGCCAGGAGGTGGTGACATGTGGTTTTAAACATCCACAGCCTTCTCCCGCAGCCTACAGGTCCCAAGACCTCTGTGGGTCCTGATCCTGAAGTTTGTGTGAAGGAGAAGATGGGAAGAGTGAATGGGGAACAATCTGAGGCAAGAGGACCAGAAGATGCTCATGGCTCAGGGGCTGGACCAGGCAGAAGCTGCAAGGGGAATTTTCTGACTAGAGGCTGGAATCTCAACACATGGGCTCAGAAACAGAGGCTCCATGACGCTTCCTCCTGCCGCCAACCCATGCACCTCCCGACTCAGAAGCAACCCCCCCGCCATGGGGCACAGCTCATAGATCTATTCTTAACGTCTTTCCTGAGACTCTGCCAAGTATTTCACTTGCTCAATTTCATTCCCTTGCTCCCTGCATGTTATTTTATGAAGAAACTCAAACGAGGAGACATCTATCAATTATCAACCCCCAAGTGATCCTAAAGCCCTGCTTAAATGCAAGGGCGAGATTTTAAATCTAATTCCCTGATGTCTGGGGTGAATTCCTGGTGAGGTCCCACAACTAAACAGAGAGCTTCCTGCCTCAATTCTGGAATTCATCTCTGCTAAGGGAAGAAAATGCATGACAATAAAAATCTGCCAAGCCCTAAAGCTAGGGCTCTGTCCTGAGGATGCTAGCTCAGCCCTCTAGCTTGGCACTGTTCTCTCATCTCCCATCTGCAACTGTAGCCCAGAAGACAAAAATGACTCAGAAGAGAACTGGTTCATTGCAAGTGATATTTATTGGGTGTCTACAGGTTGCAAAGCAGTGAATTTAGCATCAAGGAAAATAAGAAGATGAGTTATACCCAATTACTTCTTCAAGTTTTTCCACAGTTGGGTAGAGGAGGTAAGATAAGCCTTGGCTTGAGTAGCAGCCCTCTGAGAACCCATCCCTCTCTCACCCAGGGTACTGGGCCCTTTTTTGACCATGCTTCTTCCCTGAACCTGTTCTTCGCTTACCACATGAGATTGTATTTGTTGGCTCACCTGTCTGCTACTCAAGTAGAATGCCATTTCCTTATGAGCGGTTTGGAGTGATGCTCAGCTACTGGCTTCAAAAAAGAAGGAAGGGGCCGGGGCCCCAGGAATACAGGCACTTGAAGGTGAAAAAGGGAAGGGAATGAATTCATCCCTGTATTAGCTTGTTCTCGCATTGCTGTAAAGAACTACCTGAGACTGGGTGATTTATAAAGAAAAGAGCTTCAATTGATTCACAGTTCCTCAGGCTGCACAGGAAGCATGGCTGGGGAGGCCTCAGGAAACTTACAATCATGGCGTAAAGTGAAGGGGAAACAGGCACATCTTACACAGCCAGAGAAGAAGCAAGAGAGATCGAGGTGCAAGGTGGCTACACACTTTTAAACAACCAGATCTTGTAAGAACTCACTCACTATCACAAGAACAGCAAGGGGGAAGTCTGCCCCCATGGCCCAATCACCTCGCACCAGGCCCCTTCTGCAACATTGAGAATTACAGTTCAATGTGAGATTTGGGTGGTGACACAGACAGTTCAATGTGAGATTTGGGTGGTGACACAGACAGTTCAATGTGAGATTTGGGTGGGGACACAGAGTTGAATTACATCAGTCCTAGAAAGGAATACAGCCTTGCCAACACCTTACTTTTAGCCCAGTGAAGCCCATGTCAAACTTCTACAGAACTGTAAGATCCATGTGTGTTTTTTGAAGCCAGCAAATTGTGGTGACTTGTTATAGCAGCGATGGGAAGCTAAGACAGATTTTGGTCATTTTCTTTGAAACAAGTACTCGTGATTCTCTTCTGTGCTTCAGGGGAGACATCACCAGGTGAGACAAAGGTGACCTTCTCTTGGAAAACCAAGGCCATAGGAAGAATTGTCTGGTTCTGTCCTAGCTGGGAAGGAATTGGAAGCTGGTTCTTTAAGGGACAAAGAGAAGAGGTCTGCCTCCAGGGAGTGGGATCCTGAGGCTGGAGGGTGGAAGGGGTCCCTATCCCATTTGCACACAGAGTTGGAGAGCAGTTGGACCTGCCAGAGGTGCCACGGAGATGTGGCTAGGAGCATCAGGGCTGAGCCTACCCTGGAAGTACCCCTTGCAGAGCTCGGCAGAGTAGGAACAAGGCTGACAGTGGAGCCAGCTGCCTTCTAATGAACCACATGGCCTGGGCAAGAAACCACAGCTGTGCACCATTCACATCTGCAGCTGTGGCCTCTTCCACACTTCTCCTGAATCACAAAGCCCTGAGGTTCTCATATGACAGTGAGGGACAGGGAGCCGCGAAAAGCAACAGATATTAGACATCAACTGTGGTAAAAAGAGTCCTTCTACTAGATTTAGTAGTGCTGTAGAAAAACAAAGAATTACTACCTTTTTGTAGGGGGATGGGGAATGTACACCTGATACATAGTGCCCTCTGATCATCACAGGTGTGAAGTCCTGGCTGAGCAGTGCCAAGCTGAGCCCAGGAGTGATGGTAGGTACAGGGGTGCTGTGCCTCCGGGGTGTCCGGAACCTGCAATGCTGCTGCTCATACCCACACTTGCCTTTCTCCAAACACCAGCCCAGGGCACATCATCGAAGACTCTGAATAAATAAAGCAGAGCAGAGAGTGGAACTCAGTTCTGACTCTGAGCCCTGATTGAGCTTCCGTCATTCTAGAGCTGTGCCTTCTCCAGGGTTGTAAGCAGCATCAGGGTGCCAGGGAGGCCTGTCGGTCAGCAGCCCTAGCTGGCCCTGCCCACATGCCCATCACACCAGGCCATTCTGCTGTTCTGGTGCCACTCTCACCCCTAGGGAAGCCCAGTGCGCGGTCCCCACCTCCTCTGCATGTTGGCTACCTTCTCAGGATGCTGTCTCATGGGTATGTGGGCATCCGCTGCTGCTCACAGAACCCTCGGACCATCCTCCTGCCCCACCCACTGCCAGAAATCTTTTTTTGGATTAAAGGAGAAGGAAGATGGGAAGTCCCTCTGTCTTCATGTTTCTTCCAAAATCTGTCTCCTTCTCTCTCATTTTCTTTCTCTCCTCAAACCTTCCAGACAACCAGCACTATCTTTTCAATAGTTTCAGACTCTTTGGGAATAAAATCCAGGAAGGAAAGTGTATCTTGCAGCAACTTTTGTTTTTAAGCTAACCACAAACACCCCCTGAGATAAGGATGCCCAGGGCCTCTAACTGCTTGAAAAAGGATGGGAAACTGGGAAAATACAGGGAAAGGTAAAAACACCAAATCATATGTTGAAAAAGTTACCCTGACACAATAAAAATAATAGCTGTAATTTCTGCACCCACTTTTTAAATAAATCTTTCTTGAGTGCCCTCTCTCTGCCAGCATCATAGGGTGCCCCAATGCAGTGTTCCTGCTCTGGCAGTCTTTCCTGCTAGGACCGGGAGCCAGACAGCACGCATAGCCAGACAGCACACATAAACAAGAAATAAGAAAACATCCCACCATGGAAAGGGAATAGAGGGCGCTCTGATGGACCAGAACTGGCCACTGCATTTAGAGGGGGCATCACACCCCTCTGGCGTTTAAGCTGAAACCTGAATGGGAGGAAGGACACATAGATAGACCCTGCGCTGAACACCTGTGATTGTCTTGCTCATGTATCCTCCCAGCCTACCTGCAGAATCTACATCCTTATCTCCATTTTGCAGATGACGAAACTAAGGTTCATAGAGATGAAGTTTCTTACCTTAGATAATACAGCTGACCACAAAAGAGCAAGAACCGGACCTGGGGTCTGTCTAGCTCTGAAGCCACAATCCCTTTGAAAATACTAGGAGGGGGAGGGGGATCAGTTGCATCCCTCTTGGAATTTTCCCAAATGTTCTAAACAGAAATTGTTTTTTTCCCACCAGGTGCTGACATTTCAATCTTTCCTCCCTAGTCCACTGGAAAAGGCAGCCGTCCCCCATGTGAGAGGATAAAGTTGTCCAACAGCCCCCGGCTGGGCCTGCTCTGGCTCTGGCTGGCCACCGGCCCACCCTCCGCAGCTCTGCCCTGTGGGCTGGCCGGGTGGGGAGAGAACTCCACAGGCCAGATGGGCTGAGCGGAGCCCAAGGTGGCTGGCTGTGGGTATTCAAGCCTATTTTTATTCACAAAAATCTGTTCTGGATTTTATTCCGCTTTGGGGCAAGGAGAGGTCAACTCTCTTCACCTTTGCTGTAAGATGAGAATACGGCAGGAAATGAAGTGACAGGGAAGCCAACTGGGAAGAGGGAGAAAGGGCAAATTACTGGGAAATTAGAAACCTGTGTTCAGATCAGAGGGGAGGGTGTCAACGCTCCCGCTCCCACCGGGGCCCTTCTTCCCGAGGCCAGGGATGCAGAGACGCTTGACAAACCCCATGTGAGGGGACGGGTGCCACTCAGGTGCTGGCGGCACAACACACACACTGACCCAGCCCAGGCCTCCAGAAGGAGGTTCCAGCTTCGATCTGGTGCTCGGTCGCCTGCGCCTCCCAGCTCCAGTGGGGTTGCCGGAAGAAACTTCCCTAGAGAACAGAGCCAGGAGCCCCATATTGCTGGCGGACTGCCTGTCTCCATGTGCAAGGCCCAGAGTTCCTGTGTGTTCAGGTCAAACATACGTGCAGTTACATGGAAACTCAGATAAGGCAGCTCTCTGCTCCTCGCTGTCACCGAGAAGTGACTTCACCTCTTCTGTACCCTTCAAGGCCCATCTCAGAAGCTCCCCCCTCCACAGCTCCCTGAGCCAGTGTGGAGACTGCACTCTGGGTCCTGGCATCACAAAAGCTGGAAGATACCAGGCAGGCACGAGGCACTGCAGAGGCATAGTTTTAATGGCGTCCAGAACATAATTATTGAGCACCTCTTCAGTGGCAGGCACCATGCCAGGAACTGAGACATAGATGAGTTCTGCCTCAAGAAATCCAACAGTGTGGTGGCAGGAGTCACTGTGCACAATTCCACATAACAGAGGGCAGTGGGAAACGCGTGAGCTGACCTTCCGCAGGCACAGAGAGGGACTCCCTTCAGCTGAACAGACCAGGGAGAGCTCGTTGGATGACGAGGCATTTGAGTGAGGCCTTAAAAGACAGGTGGAATTATATTTTATTTTATGTTGGTTTTGCTTGGTTTTTGCAAAGAGAAATATGGTGGCAGAGCACAGCATCCCAGGAGGAAGGGAGCATAAGCATATTATGGGATGGAACACTTTGGGTTCTAGGGTACCCCTGTGGGGCAGTGGGTGGCACAGGGGCTCAATCAGCACTGGCTGCCATCACAGAGTACTGCAGACTGGGGGGTTTAAACAACAGAAACTTCCAGTTTTGAAGTCTGGAAGCCCAAGATCAAGGTCTTGCAGAGCTGGTTCCTCTGTCCTTGGCTTGCAGATTGACACCTTCTTCTGCATCCTCCCATGGTCTTTCCTCAGTGTACATGCATATCTCTTGCCTCATTTTTTGTCCTAACTGGCTCTTCTTATAAGGACATCAATCATATTGGATTAGAGCCCACCCTAACGGCCTCATTTTAACTTAATCACCTCTTTAAAGGCCCTGTCTCCAAATACAGTCACATTCTGGTGGACTAGGGGCTTCAACATGTGAATTTAGGAAGACACAATTCAGTCCATGACACACAGCATGCCCAAGGAAGGGAATCCATGGGGCATAGGAAGGAGGAGCAATGCAGGGGGTGAGATGGGGAGAACCTTAGATTGAGACCAGATTTTATAATCTATTGAATGCAAGACCACTTTGGCTTTTATGCTATGGGTTACTGTTACCAAACTATGCCCCATACTCTGCCATATGCAATAGGAGTTAAGAGAAGAAAAGACAGGGCGCTAGTGTCCCATGGTCAAGCTTGGGAAACCCATTCTGCCCCTGCAGGCTCCACAGAGCCCTTGGGTTGCATCCTCAAGAGGGAATCACACCCACTGAAGCCAACTGTTAAGGAACATCTCATGGGACAAACATCCCTTAGCATTTACTCCAGGAAACACTGTTGAAGCTAACGGGGACCCTGTAATGATTTTTGAATGAGGAGCAATACAATCAAATCTTTATGTGTCAGGTGATGGCACTGGAGTTGGTGCCCTGACAGAGAAGTTTAGACAGCAGCTTCTGGGCAAGAGTACGTTTCAGCAGGCCAGGCCTCCAGACACAGGGTAGCCTGGTGCCTGAGCAGAGCTCGCTAGAATCCAGGGAAGCCCCTCTGCTGCCTCACCAACTCTCTTCCATTCAGCAGCTATGAATGAGGCCCCTATTGCACGCAGGCACTCTGGCCTGCCCGGCCTGCCAGTCCCCCAGCCTGGACAGCTCTGGCTGGTGCCAACCTCCTCGTTCCTCAATGTGTCTCTGGGCAGGTTTATGGTTCCAGTGAATGAGGGAGCTCCAAGGAGTGGAACAGCAGCAGCAGTCCGGGATTGGTGCCCAGGATGCCCTCTCCTGCTCTTTAAGCGTATGCCAAGTCCAAAGCAAAGACCTAGGATGCTTAGGAGGGGGACTAACGCACTCCCAGTGCCTCAAGGCTGATCTGAGGCCCTGTTGCTCTGACTCAATCACTTTACCCAAATGCAGTCCTTCCTGAGATAAAGACCTCTGTTGTCCAGTTCCAGGGGCCCAAGCCCAGCCAGGCCATGAGGACACATCCCTAGAGGCAGTCATTCTCAGGCATCTGCAAGATTCAGAATCAGCTGAAGGCCCAGGACATATCACTAGTGCTGATTTTGGACAAATGGAACCCAGGGATCAGACCTGTGTGGCCCTACAGCCAGCAGAGGAAGGGTTAACCACCACAGTAGCCTCAGACACTCAGGCTGACCTGCCTGTCCAAAGTCTTCCCCACAACTGCCTTTCCAACTCGCAGCCTCCCTTGAATCCCCCAGTGATCAAC
This sequence comes from Homo sapiens, assembly GCF_000001405.40. Taxonomy (NCBI): domain Eukaryota; kingdom Metazoa; phylum Chordata; class Mammalia; order Primates; family Hominidae; genus Homo; species Homo sapiens. The sequence goes on along the minus strand of NW_025791767.1, from coordinate 6,175 downwards.
CAATCAGAAGATGGAGTCCTGTGGTAAAGGAACAAGGGCTTAACGGGGGTGAGTGGGGTGCAGAGGTCTGAGCAGGGAGGTGAGAGCCCTGCCGCTGGGCACCTGCCTGTTGGTAACAGGCCCGGGAGGGCTGTTGGGCTGCGTGCAGCCTCTCAACTGGACTTCCCCAGAGCTGCCGGCAAGCTGAGGCCTGAAGCTAGAGACTTAGATGCGGCAGTTTGTGACTGCTGGCTTTTGGATGGAGTCCCTTCCAATATATCACAACTCCATTTTTCTACTGTCTTTTTTGTTTTGTTTTTATCAATTAACGTATATGACTAACAACCCCTGTTTATTACCTAGGCCCCAAGCCTCGCCTCACCTGTGTCTGAGCAAGGGTGCCGATGAGCACAGTTACACACATTCCTTAGGAATTTAGAAAAAGAAAAGAAAATAAAAGAAAGGCTATGCATTTCCTGGTGTTTTCTTAATGCCACTGCCACATGTCTGTGTGTCAAAATGGTCCCATCAAAATGTCCTGTGCCCTCCATTGCCAAGGGAAGTCTTCTTGCCCTGTACCAACACACCCCACACACATCACACACATATATACACACACATATACACACACACACACTACACGCACACATACATATACACACGTACACACACATGCACCACGTACACCCCACACACAGTACCACACACACATGCACACCCCACACAAACACATACACAAATATCTACACATACACACAAACACAAACACACCACACCACACACACATACAAACATGCCACATATGCATCACACACGCACACACTGATAAGGTTTGGCTCTCTGTCCCCACCCAAATCTCATCCTGAATTGTACTCCCATAATTCCCACATGTTGTGGGAGGGACCTGGTGGGAGAAACTTGAATCATGGGGGCAGTTTCCTCCATACTGTTCTTGTGATGGTGAATAAGTCTCACAAGATCTGATGGTTTTATCAGGGGTTTCCACTTTTGCGTCTTCCTCATTCTCTCCTTGCCTGCTGCCATCCATGTAAGATGGGACTTTCTCCTCCTTGCCTTCCACCATGATTGTGAGGCTTCCCCAGCCACGTGGAACTATAAGTCCAATTAAACCTCTTACTTTTGTAAATTGCTCAGTTTCTGGTATGTGTTTATCAGCAGCATGAAAAAGGACTAATACACACCCCACACCCATACACCCCCCCAACACACATACACACACCACACACACACAAAGACACCACCCAGACACCAAACACACACACACACCACACCACATACACACACACACATGCATACATACACACACGTACACGCACCACATACACCACATACACCCAACACAAACACATACACACACCCCCACACACACACCACACACATACACACCACACACACACCACACACATGCACACACACAACATACACACCACACACATACACACCACACACCACACCACACATTCCACACACACCACACCACACATTGCACACACACTACATACACACATACCTACATCCATACACCCTACATCCCAACACCCCCCCACACACACACCCCACACACATACCCCACACGCAAACAGCAACCACACACAAATCACACCACACACACACAAACACACCTGTACACATACACGATATATACCACATACAAACACACCACATGCCACACTACACACCGCACCACATATCAGACACACACATCACACACATCACATATCTCACACACACACACAAATCACACCACATACCACATACACATACACAGACACACCACGCATACACAAACACCACACACCACACACAAATACACCACACATACCCTACACCACATACACACACAAAGATACCATGCAGACAGAAAACACACATGAACACACCACACCACACACACACATCACACACACACCATACATGCCACACAGACACCATACACCATACACACATACATACACAGTACACCCGTACATTACACACACGTACACACACCACATAAACACACTACACACGTGATATACCACATGCACACATACACACACACACCACAAATATTACAAACACACACACACACAGCACACACGCTGCTGGGAACTGGCTGATGCTCTGGGGACAAGCCTGGCCCCGAGGCACCTGAGTAGAGGAGAGCCACTCCCGCTTCCCTCACGGGGCTTTCCTCCTTCTGGCCTTTCTCGGCCACTTCTGGGCAGCTTCCTGGTTGGCAGGAACAGCCTACTGCCTCCTCAGCTGCTTCACAACCACATGCCCTTTCCTTAGCCAGTGTGCATTGCCATTTGCTGGGGTTCATCCACAAAGGCTCAAATGTCAGAAATTTACGGAGCTTTTGCTTCCTAGTGGGACCCATCTTCTCTCTTGTTCTTTGAAAAACTACATCTAAAAAAGTACCCTGCTTGTGAGCACAAGCTTTTCTCTACCATGATCAAGCCAATGGCTGAGTGCCCCAAGTGGCCCAGAAATCTAAGGAAACAGCAAATCCTTGGGTCCTCATTACCCCCTGGCAGTCTGTGACCAAACCACTTGCAGTGTTCAAATGGAAGACAGTGACTGCCCAGACAATTTCATGTGTGAGCCCTCCTCAAACACAGCAAGACTGCCCCAGAAGAGCCTGGCGCCCTGCGGGCACCAGATCATGAGTTTGCATTCTGGCTACGGCCAAACAGTACCCCACCTTGGGCCTCAGTTTCCTCATCTATAAAATAAACTCAAAGATTGCTTCCAGTCCCCAGATTCTCTCGTCCTGTACTCTTACTGTGGAGTATATGTCATGCTTATCTAGGGGGAAGGGGATTATTTTTTCAGATCCTAAATGTTGTAAGCTCAAACTCATAGTCATTTTGAATAATGTCACGTTAATTCGTGTAAGTAAATAGCTATACTACTGCTTTAGTGTGTTTTTATAGGGAAAAGTGAATGATTTGGGAAATTTCCTGTCCCCAAAAATGTGTCTTGAGCACATACCTTTCTTTCTCAGCTTTATAGCTAAAATGGAATTTTGTCCATTTCTTTCCAGACTAAGGGGCCAGGCTAGGGGACCCCCCTCCATTTCCCCTTGAAATGCAGAAGCCCACAGTCCTCAGCAAATGGGCCAGGGGGAAGCAGGTGGTGAAACAGAAAGCAAGGGCATCTGTGGGTCAGAGATCTGGCTTCTCCCTAGGCGACAGTGCCTGGGGGCATGGGGGGAGCTTTGGGCACGGAGGGATCCTAACCTGCAAGCCTCACACACTGTTTGGGGCCATGGCAGACGATGACAGCTGGCCTTTAACCCTTAGTGTCACCTCAACCTTTGAGCTTTAAGTTCTGATAGATATGGGGGTGGAGGGAGTAAACTGGATGAAGAGTGCCAAAAACACCTGGAGGTATCAGCAAATAGGAGCTAAACTAGCATTTTGCAGGGGAAAGAGTTGATATAAAATAGAGTTTGAGATTAGCGTGGTTCATATTGGGTTGGTGCAAAAGTAACTATAGTTTTTGCCATCACTTTTAACAGCAAAAACCACAATTACTTTGCACAAGCCTAATAAATGTAAAGGTTGCTACTGAAGGCCTCCATTTCTACCCAGTGTTTTAGGGTTTGATGTTGAATGACTGCTTTTGAGAGGCATCTTTTAGGGTTTGATGGTGAATGACTGCTTTTGAGAGGCAAAGAACGGACTGGGCTTTTAAAGAGTGGACTTACGTGTCCCAGGTGGGGTGGGTGACATCTCCTAGGGCTTTGGAGTTTCACCCTCAGCCCTGATTACAGGCTGTTTGATGGGCTGATTGGGAACCCACAGGACATAAAGCATCAGGTGCTTCAGACCTCCAAGTGGGCACTTTTGCTGGTGTGTGCAGAACGGGGGCTCTTGAAGGCCAACGAGCTGTTTACAGGGTTTTTCTGATGTGAGTCCAAGAAACTATTCCATGTCCCCTTTGTTTCTCTCCACAACCGACCAACACGTTAAGTCCCAGGAGCAAACCTAAACCCAAATTGTGAATTTCTAGGTCACAAGAGAACAGGGCTTAGTCAGACTATTTACAAAGCCCTGTCAACACACATGAGAGGGAGAAGGCCAGCCGATGCCAGTGACATTTTGTAGATTTCTTGTAGCATGTTTGGTCCATTCTTTTCCTATTAAGCATTCAAATCCTCTTCATATTCTCTAAAGCAGGATTCTGTCATCTGCTCACCCACTGAGGCTCAGTAATCCAAGACACATGCCTGGAGCCACACTAGGTTGGATGTCCCCAGGGCCTGGTTCCACCACATCATACACTACACACAGACACGCACCAGGCATGCCTCATGCAGAGGCACCAAGCATGCGAGCTAGGAGCTCCCAAGCCTCCATCCCTCAGCCTCAGCCCAGAAGTCTTGAGCTCTCTCTGCAGGGCTGGCTCACCGTGACCTCAGCACAAAATGCCTTGTTCTTACAAGAGCTCTCTGATGTTAGCATGGCAGGTATCACCCCATTTTTCTGGATAGAAAAACTGAGGCATAAGCCGAAGAAGCAGCTGGCCCAAAGATACAGAATCCCATTTAATAGAGAGTTAAAGGTCAGGGCAGAAGCAAAGACAAATTTCCTCCCTACCTGTAGAGGAAAGAGGCCCTTCCTAGCACAAAGGGTCGCCCAGCAGCCTGGACCTTACCTCAGCTCTAACGCCCAGTTCACGGCCTGACTGCTGCTCACCACTACCTTCCTTGCTCTCTGTATTAGTCTGTTCCCATACTGACATTTTGCTCTTCTCCCCTTGATTCAACTCAACTGAGAGAGCAGGAGTAACTCTTAATCACATGCATTAGTGGGAGAGTCAAGCATGGATAATACAGAACAGCAGGTAACCCCAAAAATGCTTCCAAGTGGCCCTGGGATATAACCTATGAGTCATTAATTATACAAAGGAATTAGAATTGCCTATGTAAATTGTGACCACACGATGGATGGAAGGAAGCAGGGCTGCCATAATCCTTAACTCCAAAGATACCTTTCAGCCCATAGATTATAAAATCAATGGTACTCCCTGGAGTTGTGCAGTGCACAGCCTGTGCAACTGTATATAGAGACCTTGGTGGAGACCAGTCAAGGCTATCTGAGCAGAAAAGGAAGGTAACAAGGAAGAAAGAATGACCAGAGGTCACACAGAATTGATCACAGCACTTGGAAAAGAAAATATAAAGATTTCACACATAAAATTTAAATGTACTAAACATTTTAAATACAACATTTAATACACACAGCTCGTGAACCCCTGTAATAAGGCATTATCCCATTCGTGCAGACTCACAATAATTTACATAAAAAGCTTCAGAGAGCAACCAAAGAACTCAGTGTTAAATTATGCTTAGGGAAAAAAAAAGGTTAGGGATTGTTTTCTTATTCAGGGACAGGTGGGTGGGAAGAGAAGGGGCCTGCTAGTAGACAGGTGAGAAGCCACCCACCAAGCTGCTCATCACCTGTTCTTCAGCCTATTGAGTACCCAGGGCTGAGGGGAAAGAGGCACACTGTCCACTCTGCTCCCCTGAAGTTGTGTTGCTTTATAACATGTGAAAGAAACTTAGAGTAACAAGTACCTGACACAGGAAGACTTTGGTCTCTAAATGATCCCACATTTGCAGCCCGTTGTAGATTTTAGTTGGAAGAGAGGAGGCATGTCACCCCTTTCCTTTTAGAGGCCGCGGGTCGCAGCATGGACTTGGTTTTCTGGTCGTCACAGCAAAGCCGGCATCCACAGCAGGAGTCTGAAGTCGGCCAGGCCCAGGCCATACAGCAGGGCTTTCCAGGGCATGGGACAGGGCCCATCAACCTCAGAGCTGGGCATGTTGTCCCCTGAGCTTTCTGGTTCAACTGGAACCAAGCTGGGTTTAGACTCCAGTGAGACCGGAAAACAAACCCTGGACCTGTTGCCAGGAGACCTAGGCTTTAGTACGGCTAGCACCCCGACTCACCGAGTGGGTTCAGAGAGTCCCTTCCCTTTCTGGACCCCCGAGGGAGGCTACTCGAGCTTTGCATTTCCTCCTTCCCGACCACAGCCGCCCGCCAAAGTGCCCAGGTAACTCTAGAAGCTGCACCAGGACATAAAACTGCACGTCACCAACCAGCACTGACCCAAGCAAAGACACGTGGCTCTGTGTTCCCATGTCTTTCCTTCTTTTGCCACTTCCCAAGCCCCCCTCCCCTAG